>NC_000004.12:83012290-83163805 GCF_000001405.40 Homo sapiens
GGGCTTCGCGAGGAAAACGGACACGCACGAACAAGAGCCTGTACAAAGGGGCATAGGAAGAACGCGGCGGCGGGCAGTAGGGAGAGGAGGGACTGGCACAAAATGACACAGCAGCAAAACCGGTTCCCAGAAACCTGGGGCCGCCACGGGTGGCTTGTTGGGTCGCGCAGTGTGCGTGTCAACAGCCGCAGGAGCCCTTACTCCAGACCGCCGGGCAGGCGGCTGGCCGAGCGCTGGCCCTGCCGGGTGACAGCCACCCTCTCGGGAGCCGACGGGAAGAGACCGAGCCCCAAGGATCCTTCGCCCCCCGCAACCCAGCTTCAGGGAAGGGGCGCGGCGGACCCCGCTGGCGGGTTCCCGCTCCCCGCCAAGGCCCACCGGCCCGGGCTCCCGGAGGGAGCGGTCCAGCGCTCTCCGCCCGCGCAGGCACTCGCAGCGGGGGCCGGTTCCCCCTTCCCGCCAGCCCGCCCAGGAGCCCCCATCCCGGGGGCTGACACTCACCAAAGCCGGCGGCGCCGCCGCCTCCTGGTCGCGCGGCGCTCCCTGGGCTCCCAGCAGCAGCGGCGGCGGCGGCGCCTCCGAGACACAGACCAGGGTTTGTTCAAAATCACGCGCCCAGCCCCATTCCACCGCCGCATCCCATAATACGCTGGGCCCTCCCCGCCCGCGCGCCCCTCTCTGCCCGCCCCTGCGCTCCGCACCCCGCCCCACGGCCGGCTTCCTTCGCTCCGCCTCTTCCGCGGCGCCTCGTCCCTCCCCTTGGCAACCCAAGCCCGCGTCATTCCGCCGGGCTCCGCCAGGGCGCTCCAGTTCCACGTGACGCCGAGTGGCGCCCGGTCAAAGCGATCGCACGGAATGTTCCATCGGACTGAAGCTGATGGGGGGAGGACCCGCATCGCGCTGCGGTTGGGAGAGACCGTCCCTTCGTCTAGCTTTCCTTGTTAGGAAGTCCGGGTTGTAGGTGCGACTTCCAGGATATCCCGCTGTTTGATGTGCTTGAGTGAGGAGGTGATCAGTAGTCACAAATGCCAAGTCACTGTGTTTTTAGGCACTAGTTTTGCAGTGTCGCTAAAAAGCCACAGGGAGATTCATTGAGAGTTAAACTTATTTTGAAAGACGTTTTGCATTTCTTGCAACACGCAGCTAAGACTAACACAGTCAAAATTATTTGTATTTAATCACCTTTTATTTTTTCCCGCGATTTATATGATATCCAAATACGGAGTCGGATGAACAGACGCTGACAGATCATTCTGAGGGGAAAAAAAAATTATTCTGAGAGATTATTATCAACTGCTGTGAGTGCGACAAGCACTACATATACGAAAATAGAAAATACAAGAGTGTAAATGTAAGATGGTGCGATACAGTGTATAATTTGCTAATGGAGTACGGAGGACATACAGGTCAGCATGAGAGACTACCTCGGGAACATAATGGAGGAGGTGAAACAGTGTAGGGGAGGCAGCAGTCACTTTGGAATCAAGCAGTACTGGTATTTAATGGCACCTCCGTTTATTAGTGTATATTGTATAACGTTTATTTTCCTATCCAGCAAATAAAAATAACAAAACTTCCCAGGATTCTGATGGTTAAATAAAATGAAGGGTGTTAAGCAGGTACACAGTCTCTGCCTGAAATGTTAGTTCCCTTGTGCCATAATCAACACCCAGTACCAGCCCAAACACTAATAGTCAGGATTTAACAAGGCAAATGTCATGAAATTAGCAAAGCCTTGAAAATGGGAAGGTCTGTGACATGTGTAAGTAATGTGATAAAGTTGAATGACACAAAGGCTTTGTTGGAGATCAGCATTGTGAGCCCACTTTATGAGGAACCTTGAGAGCTAGTGTGAGAAATCCTCATGGTAAAATGATTGATGGTGCTGTTGGGGCACCACTGGAAGGAAGAAAAGAATGAGATGGGGTACCCAAAACTGGCTAGATTTTAGAGAGACCAAAATATCTCAAAAAAAGGAGACCCTTTCCCAGTTTATTCCACAAGGCAGCATAACTCTTATACTAAAACCCAAGACAAACAGTACCCAAAAAAGAGAAGGGAAACTTCCTTTCTTGCTATGATTTTGTTATGAAGGCAAAATTGAGTATTTAGTTGTTATTGGTGCTGTGGCTCACACCTGTAATCGCAGGACTTTGGAAGACTGAGGCAGGAGGATGGGTTGAGACCAGGAGTTTGAGACCAGCCTGGGCAACATAGTGAGATTTCATCTCTACAAAAAAAATTTTTTTAAATAAAAAGAATTAAGAAGTTATCAGACCGGGCGCAGTGGCTCACACCTGTAATCCTGGCACTTTGCGGGGCTGAGGGAGGTGGATCACCTGAGGTCAGGAGTTTGAGACTAGCCTGGCCAACATGGTGAAACACTGTCTCTACTAAAAATACAAAAATTAGCCGGGCGTGGTGGCATGCGCCTGTAGTCCCAGCTACCCAGGAGGCTGAGGCAGGAGAATCACTTGAACCCGGGAGGCAGAGTTTGCAATGAGCCGAGGTCATACTACCGCACTCCAGCCTGGGCAACAGAGTGAGACTCTTTAAAAAAAAAAAAAAAAGATGTTATCAAATTCCAGCAATGTGGTAGTAAAAAGAATTTACATCATGACAAAGTATATGGTTTAACCGAAACAGTGATTTAACATTAAGAAATCTACTAGTGTAATTTATTAGATTGAAGGAGAAAAACCAAATGATAGTCTCTAGAGATACATTGTATAACATTCAATAACCACCCTGAATTTTTTAAATTCTTAGTAAACTAGAAATAAAAGAATGTTTCCTTAATTGGATCAAGATAATCATCAGAGAACAACACCATACATTTCAGTGAAATGGCAGAGGCTTTCACCTTAAAATCAGAAACTCAATAAGGAGGCAGGGATATAGTAGCTGTTTACCGTTTTTGAGTGTGTCCTAGCTAAGTTAAATAAGAAAAAATGAAAGAAGAGGTATAATATAAAGGAAGAAGGAGACTAAATGGTCCTTATTAAAAATAATCAGGCCAGGCACAGTGGCTCATGCCTGTAATCCCAGCCCTTTGGGAGGCCGAAGCAGGTGGATCACAAGGTCAGGGGTTCGAGACCAGCCTGACCAACATAGTGAAACCCCGTCTCTACTAAAAATACAAAAATTAGCTGGGCGTGGTGGCGGGCACCTGTAATCCCAGCTACTCAGGAGGCTGAGGCAGGAGAATTGCTTGAACCCAGGAGGCGGAGGTTGCAGTGAGCCGAGATCGCGCCACTGCACTCTAGCCTGGGCGACAGAGCGAGACTCCCGTCTCAAAACAATAAACAATAAAAAAAAATAATAATCATAGGGGCCAGGCGCGGTGGCTCACACCTGTAATCCCAACACTTTCAGAGGCCGAGGCAGGTGGGTCACGAGGTCAGGAGTTCAAGACCAGCCTGGCCAACATGGTGAAACCCCATCTCCACTAAAAATATAAAAATTAGCCAGGTGTGGTGGCCGGCGCCTATAATCCCAGCTACTCGGGAGGCTGAAGCAGGAGAATAGCTTGAATCCGGGAGGCAGAGGTTGCAGTGAGCTAAGATCACACCATTGCACTCCAGCCTGGGACAGAGCAAGATTCTGTCTAAAAATAAAAATAAAAATAAATGAAAATAAAAACAATCATAAAGAGTTATTTTTCCTATTTTTGTTTGGTTTTGTTTTTTGAGTCTTGCTCTGGCCAGGCTGGAAGGCAGTTCCTCGATCTCGGCCCACTGCAACTTTCGCCTCCCGGGTTCAAGTGATTCTCCTGCCTCAGGCAGAGTGCCAGGTAGCTGGGATTACAGGCTCGGGGGCCATCACACCCAGCTAATTTTTTTTTTCATATTTTTAGTAGAGATGGAGTTTCACCATGTCGGCCAGGTTGGTCACGAACTCCTGACCTCACATGAGCCACCCTCCTCAGCCTCCCAAAGTGCTGGGATTTCAGGTGTGAGCCACCGCGTCCGGCCTCATAAAGAGTTCATTTTAAAAGTCCTTATTGGCCGGGCGCGGTGGCTCACGCCTGTAATCCCAGCACTTTGGGAGGCCGAGGCGGGTGGATCACGAGATCAGGAGATCGAGAACATCCTGGCTAACACGGTGAAACCCCGTGTCTACTAAAAATACAAAATTAGCCGGGTGTGGTGGCGGGCGCCTGTAGTCCCAGCTACTCGGGAGGCTGAGGCAGGAGAATGGCATGAACCCGGGAGGCGGAGCTTGCAGTGAGCCGAGATCACGCTACTGCACTCCAGCCTGGGCGACAGAGCAAGACTCTGTCTCAAAAATAAATAAATAAATAAATAAATAAATAAATAAATAAATAAATGCCCTTATTAAAGATAATCATAAAGAGTTCAAAGTGTTACAGTAAATTGCTTGGCACCTGGAGCCAGACAGCCTGGGCTTAAATCCTGGCCCTCCACATAATAGCTCTGTGAACTTGGACAAGTTACTTTCCTCTTTATGTCTCAGCGTCCTTATCTGTAAATTGAGACTAGTGCATACATCATAAGGTTGTTGTGAAAATTAATGAGGTAATATGTGTAAAACACTGAGAACAGTGCCTGGCATATAGTAAGCACCCAATGTCTGAAAGCTATTAATAATCAAAACTAAATAGAGTCTGAATCTAATCTAATCTTTTACTTTTTTTTTTTTTTTTTTTTTGAAACAGAGTCTCGCTCTGTCGCCCAAGCTGGGAGTGCAGTGGCTCAATCTTGGCTTACTGCAACCTCCGCCTCCCGGGTTCAAGCGATTCTCCTGCCTCAGCCTCCCAAGTAGCTGGGACTACAAGCACATGCCACCACATCCGGCTAATTTTTTGTATTTTTAGTAGAGACGGGGTTTCACCGTGTTAGCCAGGATGGTCTCTAATATTCTGACCTCATGATCCGTCCGCCTCAGCCTCCCAAAGTGCTGGGATTACAGGCGTGAGCCACTGCGACCGGCCTTACTTTTTCAAATAAATCATTTTAGGTCAGATGCAGTGGCTCATGCCTGTAATCCCAGCACTTTGGGAGGCCGAGGCAAGCGGATCATGTGAGGTCAGGAATTCGAGACCAGCCTGCCCAACATGGTGAAACCCCGTCTCTACTAAAAATACAAAAAATTAGCCGGGCGTGGTGGTGCATGCCTGTAATCCTAGCTACTAGGGAGGCTGAGGCAGGAGAATCGCTTGAACCCAAGAGGCAGAGGTTGCAATGAGCCGAGATCCCACCACTGCACTCCAGCCTCGGCAACAGAGTAAGACCCTGTCTCAAAAAAATAAAAATAATAAAATAATAATAATAAAAAAAAAGCCTGGTCAACATAGCAAGACCTCGTCTTTACAAAATAAAAATTTAAAAATTAGTTGGCCATCGTGAAACATACCTGTAGTCCCAGCTACCTGGGGGCTAAGATAGAAGATTGCTTGAGCCCAGCAGTTTAAGTTTGCAGTGAACTATAATTGCACCACAGAACTCCAGCCTGGGCAACAGCGAGACCCTGTCAAAAACAAAAACAAAAAACCACCAAAAATCTCTGCTATTCAAACATCTATTTCAGAAGAAACTCTGTGCTTTGCATGTGCATGATGGTGTTTCCAGAAGAACTAAAAACATTTATTCAGCAAATATTTGTTGATTATCTACTGGATCCCAACGTCTGTGCAAGGAACTAAAAATTAAGTGGTGAACAAGACAGCACAATTCTGTCCAACGGAACATTCTGCAATGGTGGAACTATTCTGCACTATCTGATACTGTAGCCACTAGCTACATGTGGCTATCAAGCAACTGAAATGTGGCTAGCATGGCTAAAGGAACTGACTTTTTCGTTTTAATTGCCATTAATTTAAATTTAAATAGCCACATGTGGCTGAAGCGGTGGTTTACGTCCATAATCCCAGCACTTTAGGAGGCTGAGGCTGGAGGATCACTTGAGCCCAGGAGTTCAAGACCAGCCTGGGCAACATAGTGAGAAGCACTCTCTACAAAAAAAGTGATATAAAAAAATTAGCCAGGCATGGTGGCACATGCCTAAAGTCCTAGCTACTTGGGAGGCTGAGGTGAGAGGATCACTTGAGCCCAGGAGTTCAAGGTTACAGCGAGGCATGATCACACCATTGCACTCCAGCCTGGATGACAGAATGAGACCCTGTCTTTATAAAAAATAAATAGCCACATGTGCTAATTACTACAGTACTGGACAATTCTAGAAGATGTGCCAGACAATAAACAAGAAAAAAAATTAGAGCTTTTTAAAATAAACACAGGAAGTTTCTGAGGAAAATATTAATATTAAAAAAGACAGGAGGCCGAGCACAGTGGCTCACACCTGTAATCCCAGCACTTCAGGAGGCCAAGGCGGGTGGATCACCTGAGGTCAGGAGTTCGAGACGAGCCTAGCCAACATGGTAAAACCCCGTCTCTACTAAAAATACAAACATTAGCCAGGTGTGGTGGCGCGTGCCTGTAATCCCAGCTACTCGGGAGGCTGAGGCAGGAGAATCACTTGAACTCGGGAGGTGGAGGTTGCAGTGAGCAGAAATGGTGCCATTGCACTCCAGCCTGGGCGACAAGGGCAAAACTCGGTCTCAAAAAAAAAAAAAAAAAAAAGACAGGAGTATGGAGATATGAGTTGGGTAGAATCAACAGAAAAAAATAAAAATGTATTACTGGGTATCTATTATGTGCCAGGTATACTGTTAGGTACACAGTATACACTAATAAAATTTTCTTAAAATAGGTTAGTTTTCAAAAGATTATTCAGAAGGTCCTTTGTTCATGAGTTCATTTTTCATAAATCCCAGATGTCTCTAATACAAGCACTTAACATGTATAAGTAAGAGTAATTATCACCTTTCTTTTTCATTATGATATAACTCTTTTTACAACAGGCCCATAATTTCTTACCAATGATTTCAAAATCCAAGATGTTTTGAAAACTAAAAGGTTTCTGAAAGCTTATGGCAAGCTTATTTATTGGGAAAACCTGGCCCAATATGATATAAGGCATTAATATTCTTAATTCCATTTAGTGTCAATACTCACATATGTCAGTGTAGAAATCTCAGTGTGTTGCCGGGTGTGGTGGCTCACGCCTGTAATCCCAGCACTTTGGGAGGCTGAGGCGGGTGGATCACGAGGTCAGGAGATTGAGACCATCCTGGCTAACACGGTGAAACCCCATCTATACTAAAAATACAAAAAATTAGCCGGGCAAGGTGGCGGGCGCCTGTAGTCCCAGCTACTCAGGAGGCTGAAGCAGGAGAATGTCGTGAATCCCAGGGGGCGGAGCCTGCAGTGAGCCGAGATCCCGCCACTGCACTCCAGCCTGGGCCACAGAGCGAGACTCCGTCTCAAAAAAAAAAAAAAAAAATCTCAGTGTGTTTAATTGTGGGATTTGATTGTGACCAAAAGTATTGGAAGGAACTTTCTGGGGTGTTGGGAATGTTCTTGACCCTGATTGTGGTTGTACAAGGGTATACAATGGCCTAAATTCATTGGGTATACTTAAAATGGATGCATTTTAGCGTATGTAAATTATACCCCATTAAAACTGGTTTTAAGATTTAAAAAAAAATGAGAACTTTAAAATGGTTTCTGCATATTCTTCTCTAAAATCCAAAATATTTTCAATTCCAAAGCACATTTGCCCCCAGGGGTTTTGAATAAGGGAATGCAGACTGGTATCACTTTGAACATACCCCGAGTTTTTCACTTTGTATAATATAGTGTTATTAGTAATGTCAAGCCACCCAAAAAATAAAATCAACCACTAAAATAATCTGTTGATGGCAGGCAGGATTCATTTGCTTTTCCTCTCACAATAAGATTTCTTTGTCTATATAATAGAGGTTTCTGTTTGCTTGTTTTTCTAATTAGAAGGATAGAAGTAGAGGATTCTCTGTAATGTTCTGATGTACTTGGGCTGCTAGGGGTATAACCACTTCTGTGATTAGGAGTGGGTCCCCTTGAAGGAAGTAGATATGGTTAATGTCAGTCATCCTGAGAAGAGAGAAACACATTTTGAGATATGATACGGGAGCTCAGACTTAGAGAGGAAAATGGTTACTCTCTCTAGGCCTTGGTCATCTGGATCTGGACACAAAGCATTTAATGTGTTTGAAGGAATGTACCTATTTTTTTTTTTTTTTTAGTTTGCTAATCAGCTGAGTTGATAATGTGTCCATCTTTTTACCCAGCAGGAGAAGAAGATATCTACCCCTAAGGAAACTGGAAACTAGGTAGAGGTTTTATTACAAAACACCTTAAAATTCTTCATGGCTTATAAACACAAGCATTTATTTTTCTCATGAATTGGCTAGGTTCACAGATCTAGGCTGGGCTCAGCTAGGCCAGGTTAGAACCCAGACTTATGGTTGGGTTCCACATATCTTAATTCTGGGGCCCAAGCTGATAGGGCATTAGCAACCTGGGGTATGCTTTCTTCTAGTGGCTCCCAAGAACATAGCACTGAATAGAAATATGATGTCCTTTTTTTTTTTTTTTTTTTTTGAGACAGAGTCTCGCTCTGTTGCTCAGGCTGGAGTGCAGTGGTACAATCTCAGCTCACTGCAATCTCTGCCTCCTGGATTCAAGCAATTATCTTGCCTCAGCCTGCCAAGTACCTGAGACTACAGGTGTTCACCACCATGCCTGGCTAATTTTTTACTTTTTGTGGAGACAGGGTTTCACCCTATTGGCCAGGCTGGTCTTGAACTCCTGTCCTCAAGCAATCCACTTGCTGCCTCAGCCACCCAAAGTGCTGGGATTACAGGCGTGAGCCACCGAGCCTGGCCCATGATGTCCTTTTTAAGGCTACCGTATCCCCAACCAACTGGTGCACTGTAACTTCGGTCCACATTACATTGGCCAAAACAAGTCCTATGTCCAAAGCCCAACATCAATGAGGAGGAAAAATATATTCTTTCTACTCTAGTGAAAGGTACGGCAAAGGTACATGTGAAATGTGTAGATATATCATTCTAGCACAGAGAGGAAATAAAGATTTGGGAGCAATGATCCAAACTACAAGAGATAACTATAAAGACCCCTTGGATGTGTTGCACAATAGGAGAGGATTAGAGTACGTTAGCATCTTTTTTTTTTTTTTTTGAGACGGAGTCTCACTCTGTCACCCAGGCTGGAGGGCAATGGGCGTGATCTCAGCAACCTCCACCTGCTGGGTTCAAGCAATTCTCCTGCCCCAGCCTCCCGAGTAGCTGGAACTACAGGCATGTGCCACCACAGCTGGCTAATTTTAGTATTTTTAGTAGAGACGGGGTTTCACCGTGTTAGCCAGGATGGTCTCGATCTCTTGACCTCGTGATCTGCCCGCCTCGGCCTCCCAAAGTGCTGGGATTACAGGCGTGAGCCACTGCGCCCGGCCCAACATCTTAAACTCTCCATGAAAACACCCTTTTCTTTGACATAGAAAAGTAACTGTGGTCTTATGTAAATTGCTATGCCTGTATAGCATTAACTTTCTTATCCAATCAAACTGCTGCTCTTTGCTCCTCCAGTGTAAAAATTCTGGGGCCTGGAACTCACAAAGCTACCCACAAAACTCTCTGCTACATAATGGTAGCTTACTATCTGTAGTAACTAGGCTGCTTTCAGTAGCTTATACTTTATATCTCATAAAATGAATAGCATAGAAATGGCTTTTCTAAGATAATTCCACAGAGAAAAGATGTCATTAAAGACATTGACTTCCTTTGCATGCTACCATCCTCAAGACTTTCCCTTTATTCTTAGGCTTGCTTTCTCATGGTTATCATCTAGGATCATACATAGAAATACTACACACAGCCGGGTGAGGTGGCTAATGCCTAGCACTTTGGGAGGCCGAGATGGGCAGATTGCCTAAGCTCAAGAGTCTGAGACCAGCCTGGGCAACATGGTGAAACCCCATCTCTACTAAAATGCAAAAAATCAACAGGGCATGGTGGCGGTCACCTGTAATCCCAGCTACTCAGGAGACTGAGGCAGGAGAATTGCTTGAACCTGAGAGGCAGAGGTTGCAGTGAGCCGAGGTTGTACCATTGCACTCCAGCCTGGGCAACAAAGCAAACTCTGTCTCAAAAAAAGAAAGAAAAAATACTACACACAATACACAGATATCAGCCTCAGAGGAAGAGTATTCATCCCATGTGCTTCTTCCCATAAGCAAGTTAAACCTGTTCCCCAGAAGGCTTTCCATCATGATGTGCTGGTCAAACCTGGACCATATACTTGTTCTCAAACCATTCACTAGCCAGAAAAAGTGGCCTAGAGCAGGGGTCAGCAAAGGAAGGCCCACAGGCCAAATCCAGCTCATTGCCTATTTTTGTCCAGACTGCAAGCTAAGAATGTATGTGTTTTACATTTTTAAAGGATTATAGAGGAAAAAGCAATCGCAGCAACTGCTGCAGCTGTTGCAGCACTAAAGAGACCATATGTGGTCTAAATAAAAATTTTAGATTTTTGTCCAGCCCATAAGCTAAGAACATTTTTGGTTTTGATTTTTATACTTTATAAGGATTGTAGAAGAAAAAGAAGCAGCAGTCACAGAGACCACATGTGGCCTAAAGTCTACATTTTTTATTTGGCCCTTTATAGAAAATGTTTGCAGTCTCTGGCATAGACTGTCATGATTCATCTGGGAGGTGAGGAAAGACCATTAGAAGCACTGGGTCAGCCACATCATATATGTGTAATTTCCTTTTGCTTTCCCCAACCCTGAGGAAAATCTTAACCATTGCTGAATGATCCTGTTTGATATGGTTAGGCTTTGTGTCCCCACCCAAATCTCATCTTGAATTGTAACCCCCATAATCCCCACGTGTCAAGGGAGAGACCAGGTGGAGGTAATTGAATCATGGGGGCAGTTCCCCCATGCTGTTCTCATGACAGTGAGTGAGTTCTTATGAGATCTGATGGTTTCATAAGAGGCTCTTCCCCCTTTGCTCAGCATTTCTCCTTGCTGCCGCCTTGTGAAGTAGGTGCTTTGCTTCCCCTTTGCCTTTTGCCATGATTGTAATTTTCCTGAGGCCTCCCTAGTCATGCTGAACTGAATAAATGAAACCTCTTTCCTTTATAAATAACCCAGTCTCAGTCATTAGAGAAATACAAATGAAAGCCACAATGAGATACCATCTCATGCCAGTTAGAATGGTGATCATTAAAAAGTCTGGAAACGACAGATGGTGGTGAGGATGCAGAGCAAGAGGAATGCTTTTACACTGTTGGTGGGAGTGTAAATTAGTTCAAACATTGTGGAAGACAGTGTGGTGATTCCTCAAGGATCTAGAACCAGAAATACCATTTGACCCAGCAATCTCATTACTGGGCATATACCCATAGGATTATAAATCATTCTACTATAAAGACACATGCACACATATGTTTATTACCGCACTATTTACAATAGCAAAGAGTTGGAACCAACCCAAATGCCCATCAGTGTTAGAGTGGACAAATAAAATGTGGCACATTTACACCATGGAATACTATGCAGCCATAAAAAAGAATGAGTTCATGTCCTTTGCAGGAAATGGATGAAGCTGGAAACCATCATCCTCAGCAGACTAACTCACAAACAGAAAAGCAAACACTGCATGTTCTCACTCATAGTGGGAGCTGAACAATGAAAACACATGGACACAGGGAGGGGGACATCACTGTGTGATGTGGGGGGCAAGGGGAAGGATAGCATTAGGAGAAATACCTAATGCATGTAGAGCTTAAAACATAGACGATGGGTTGATAGGTGCAGCAAACCACCATGGCACATGTATACCTATGTAACCAACCTGCACGTTCAGCACATGTATCCCAGAACTTAAAGTAAAATTTAAAAATAAATAAATAACCCAGTTTCAGGCAGTTCTTTATAGCAGTATGAAAATGGACTAATACACTGTTATTTACTGCTGCTTAGGTAAATTAAAGGAAAAGTTAATGTCTACATGTGTGTCAGAATGTTATGAGAGAGGTGTGGCCATTAGTTTCTGTTTATGAGGGCAATAATGTTTAAGTGAATAATCCCCAAATGGAGGGGACATCTCAAGGGAGAACCATCAGAATGTAAGGTCCAGAAGCCTTCCCTTCCACTGCTAGCATGTCACTCCATTACCTTCTGAGGTGTATAATTTGTGACCAGAAGTCTGTTGTAATTCCTCTGTAAGTAATGTGCCTTTTTTTTTCTTTTTTCTGGCTGCCTTTAGGATTTTCTTTTTGGCTGGACACAGTGACTCATGCCTGTAATCCCAGCAATTTGGGAGGCTGAGGTGGGCGGATCACTTGAGGTCAGGAGTCCGAGACCAGCCTAGCCAACATGGTGAAACCCCATCTCTACTAAAAATACAAAAATTAGATGGGCATGGTGGTGGGCACCTGTAATCTCAGCTACTCAGGAGGCTGAGGCAGGAGAATCCCTTGGACCTGGGAGGCAGAGGCTGCTGTGAGACGAGATCATGCCATTGCACTGCAGCCTGGGTGAAAAGGGCAAGACTCCATCTCAAAAAAAAAAAAAAAAATTAACTGGGTGTGGTGGTGCACATCTGTAGTTAGTCCTGGCTACTCAGGAGGCTGAGGCAGGAAGATTGCTTGGACCCAGGTGTTCGAGGCTGCAGTGAGCTAAGAAGGTGCCACTGTATCCTCATCTGGGAGGAAGAGTGAGACTCCATCTCTTAGAAAAAAAAAAGATTTTCTCTTTATCTTCGGTTTTCAGCAATTTAAATATTATGTGCCTATGTGGGTGTATATGTTTCATCCTTCTGGAGGTTCTATGAGATTCCTGGATGTGTGGTTTGATATCTTTCATAATTTTTGGATAATTATTTGCTACTATCTCTTCAAATCTTTTTTTCTGCATCATTTTTTCTCTCTTTTCCTTCTTGGATTCCAATTATACGTATGTTGAATCATTTTGTTCCACAGCTCTTGGAGATTCTTTCTTAGTCTGTCTTAGTATCGCTATAAAGAAATACCCAGCCAGGCACGGTGGCTCACACCTGTAATCCCAGCACTTTGGGAGGCCAAGGTGGGTGGATCACGAGGTCAGGAGATCAAGACCATCCTGACTAACACAGTGAAACCCTGTCTCTACTAAAAATACAAAAAATTAGCTGGGCATGGTGGTAGGTGCCTGTAGTCCCAGCTACTTGGGAGGCTGAGGCAGGAGAATGGTGTGAACCCGGGAGGCGGAGCTTGCAGTGAGCTGAGATTGTGCCACTGCACTCCAGCCTGGGTGACAGAGCAAGACTCCATCTCAAAAAATAAAAGAAATACCCAAGGCTGGGTAATTTATAAAGAAAAAATGCTTATTTGGCTCACAGTTCTGCAGATTGTATAAGAAGCATGGCACCAGCATCTGCTCCTGGTGAGGGCTTCAGGCTGCTTCTGCTGATGGAAGAAAGGGGAGGGAAGCTAGCATGTGCAGAGATCACATGGCAAGAGGAGACACAAGAGACTGAAGGGGGGAGGTGCCAGGTTCTTTTTAACAACCAGCTCTAATGGGAACTACTAGAGCAAGAACTCACTCATTACCATGAGGACACCACCACACCAGTCATGAAGGATCTGTTCCCATTAGGCCCTGCCTTCAACAATGGAGATCAAATTTCAACATGAAGTTTGAAGGGGTCAGATATCTAAACCACAGCACTATCCCTTCTCTATCTGCTCTCACTTTTCTTTTTTTTTTTTACTTTAGTTCTTTTAGTTTGGGCTCTTTCTATTGACCTATTTTTAAGTTCCCTGATTCTTTCTTTGGCTGTGCTGAGTCTACTCATGAGCACATTGAAGACATTCTTTGTCCCTGTTAACAAGTCTTTTTATTTTTAGCATTTCCTTTTTACATTTTCTTTTCATTTCTGCCCTCTTTTTTTTTTTTTTTTTTTTTTTTTTTTTTTTTTTTTTTGAGACAGCGTCTCGCTCTGTTGCCCAGGCTCCAGTGCAGTGGTGCGATCTCGGCTCACTGCAAGCTCTGCCTCCCGGGTTCATGCCATTCTCCTGCCTCAGCCTCCCAGCAGCTGGGACTACAGACACCCACCACCACGCTTGGTTAATTTTTTCTATTTTTAGTAGAAACGGGGTTTCACCGTGGTCTCGATCTCCTGACCTTGTGATCCGCCCACCTCGGCCTCCCAAAGTGCTGGGATTACAAGCGTGAGCCACTGCGCCCGACCTCTTCCCTCTGTTTTAATTCCTCATCTGTTCATTCATGCTGTATACATTTTCTTTCTTTTTTTTTTTTTTGAGACATGGTCTCACTCTGTTGCCCAGGCTGGAGTACAGTGGCACAATCATGGCTCACTGCATCCTCAAACTTTCTGGGCTAAGAGGGTCCTCTCACCTCAGCTTTCCAGTCCCAGCTGCTAGCTGGGACTACAGGCACATGCCACTACACTGACTAAATTTTTTGTGTGTATTTTTTGTAGAGATGGGGTTTTGCCATGTTTCCCAGGTTGGTCTCAAACTCCTGAGCCCAAGCAATTCACCTGCCTTGGCCTCCCAAAGTGCTGGGATTACTGGTGTGAGCCACAGCCCCTGGCCTATATTTTTAATTGAAACTTTAACACAGTATCATAATTATCTTAAATTCCCTGTTGGATAGTTCCAACATCTTTGTTTTTCATTTTTAGAGACAGAATCTCACTCTGTTGCCCAGGCTGGACTGCAGTGGTATGATCACAGCTCACTGCAGCCTCAACCTCCTGGGCTCAAGCTATCCTCCCACCTCAGTCTCCCGAGTAGCTGGGACTACAGGTGCATGCCACCATGCCTGGCTAATTTTTGTGTTTTTTTGTAGAGACAGAGTCTTGCCATATTGCCCAGGCTGGTGTCGACCTCCTGAAATCAAACAATCTGCCTGCCTCCGCCTCCCAAAATGCTGGGATTACAGGCATGAGAAAAAAAGCTTGGGGCATCTAAGCAAAAAGAGTAAGTGACTTATAAGAGAAAGAAAATAGAGTGCAGTAGCTCATGACTATAATCCCAGCGCTTTGCGGGGCTAAGGTGGGAGAATTGCTTGAGCCCAAGAGTTCAAGCCCAGACTGGGCACAAAACAAGACCCTATTCTTACAAAAAATTTAAAGAATTAGCTGGATATAGTGGCCAGTGTGCCTGTAGTCCCAGCTACTTGGAAGGCTGAGGTGGGAGGACTGCTTGAGCCCAGAAGTTCAAGGCTGCAGTGACTATGATCATGCCACTGCACTCATATAATGCTATTATTTGAATGTTTATCCTTTCCAAAACTCATATTGAAACCTAACCCCCAATGTGGCATTATTGAGAGGTGGGCCTTTAAAAGGTAACTGAGATCATGAGGGGTCTGTCCTCATGAATGGATTAATACATTAATGGGGTAATGCCTGGGTGACAGAGTAAGACCCTGTCTCTTAAAATACTGAGAGATAGAAAATTAGACTCTCATCAGATATTTTGATGCTTTATGCCAAAAAAAAAATGAAGAACCACACTTAAGATTCTTAAGAAAAGTGAATCAAAGTTTATTATATCCAACAAAACTGATAACAAACATAAAAGGCACAAGATGTTACCAATACTCAAGAACATGCAAGAATATGGATTCTGAGTCCTGCCTGAACAATCTATTAAAGAACTAGCTTCTTTAACAGAAAACCAAAGACTAGAGATATATCAATAAAAGAGCTGATGGTGCACATTCAATATGTAGTGCTTACTGACCTAAGAATACATGAAGATTAGCTGGGCGCGGTGGCTCACGCCTGTAATCCTAGCATTTTGGGAGGCCGAGGCGGGCAGATCACGAGGTCAAGATCGAGACCATCCTAGCCAACATGGTGAAACCCTGTCTCTACTAAAAATACAAAAACTAGCTGGGTGTGGTGGCACGTGCCTGTAGTCCCGGCTACTCAGGAGGCTGAGGCAGGAGAATTGCTTGAACCTGGGAGGTGGAGGTTGCAGTGAGCCGAGATCATGCCGCTGCACTCCAGCCTGGTGACAGAGTGAGACTCCGTCTCAAAAAAAAAAAAAAAAAAAAAAGAATACATGAAGATTAAAAGGAAGAAAATAAGGCCAGGTGCCATGGCTCACACCTGTAATCCCAGCATTTTGGGAGGAAAGGCAGGTGGATTGCTTGAGCTCAGGAGTTCGAGACCAGCCTGGGCAACATGGTGAAACCCTGTCTCTACAAAAAGTTGAAAAATTAGCCAGGCATGGTGATGGGTGAGGCATGCCTGTAGTCCCAGCTACTCAGGAGGCTGAGGTGGAAGGATCACTTGAGCCCAGGTGGTCAAGGCTACAGTGACCTGAGATCATGGCACTGCACTCCAGTTGGGACAACAGAGTGAGATCCTATCTCAAAAAATAAGAAAAAGGAAGACAATACAGTTTGTAATGGCTATATGTGCTTACAATATGGCTATTATAATACGAAATGTGGGAAAATATTTAACTGTTATCAGTAATCGTATTGGGGGTGGTAGTATAAGTATTATTATTCTGAGGCTGTTGTGTGTGTAATGTGGATGAATAAAATGAGTAATTATGTAATATTCCTTATGTGCTGTGAATCAGGATTCTGGGTGTGGAAATAAGGAGATACAGATGTAATATAGAAGAGGTTTAAGTAAAACAACCTAAATTGGAATTATCAGTATGCCCTCATTAATCACTTCACCCTTAAAATACATACATATTTCCTAGTTCTGTCCTACAAAAAAGGTCTCCAAATGACTGATATAGTAGCAACGAGCATTCTTAGCACTTGGACTGTTATTTATAATTATCATCCCCACTAAAAGGAAAAAGGCTTCTTGGAGAAATGACCGATTCTAGATCTAGGCAGGAAACACACCAGATGACTGTAAAACCAACTGTCACACAGCACTAGCAACACATGGAGTAAGCATAGAGGAAGGATTCACGTGCAGAAAACAGCACAGTACTGTATGGACAATCACTTATGCTCTTTTCCCTTCTGTAGTGAGGCATATTTGGGCTGGGCACAGTGGATGTATAGTAGAATATGTGTCAGGAAAGAGGCTTCTGGATAACTTTTTTATCTTTGTAGGGAAGCTGTGAGAAGGTAGAGACCATCTAGTAGACTGCAACAACAGGAGATTCCTGGCCAAGGAAACGGCCTTGTTAGCGGGGGTAATTTATACAATGCTATTGTTTGAATGTTTATCCCCTTCAAAACTCATGTTGAAAGTGATTCCCTAATGTGACATTATTGAGAGGTGGACCTTTAAGAGGTGACTGGATCGTAAAGGGTCTGCCTTCATGAATGGATTAATCCATTAATGAATTAATGGATTTATGGATTAAAGGGTTCCCATGAGAGTTGAAATGGTGGCTTTATAAGAAGAGAAAGAGAGACCAGAGCAAGTATGCTTAGCCCCCTCACCCTGTGATGCCCTGTACATCAGCAAGGAGGCCCTGATCAGATATGGCTCCTTTACCTTGGACTTCTCAGCCTCCATAACTGTAAGACATAAATTCCTTTTCTTTATAAGTTACCCAGTTTCAGGTATTCTGTTATAAGCAGCAGAAAACAGACTAAGACAAATACCAATGGTGTTGACATCTGCTAGATCTTCTCAAACTTTAACATGCAAGGATTACTAGGATTTTGCTAACATGACGGTTTCTATTTAGTTTGGGCTAGAATTGAAGATTTTGCATGGTAAAAGAAGAGCTAGGATTTGTGCAGTTCCCTTGAGTTCATTAAGATGTGTCTTGCTAACCTCTTGCTAAATAACTGAAAAGGAGAGAATAAGCCTCCAGGGCCATCCAGGTTTGCTTTTCTTCACTGTTGTAAGTAAAATCTAAAAATATGTAATATTCTGTTAGAGTCAGGGCAAGGGGAATGAGCAGTCTGGAAAGAGAAGTCCTTTGTAGGTCAAAATATTTAGTAAAATTGCTGCCTCCAACAATTAGGAAAGCAGGAAATCTTCCCCAGCTTGTGGCTAATGGAAGTATCTGAAAAGGGCCAGCTTGTGTATGTGGCTTTTTGTTGCCTTGGGTAAGGTGTTGCAAGTCAAGTGTGAAGTCAAGTTAAGAAGGGAATGAAATGTCCAGAAATTCTGAGCCTTCACTAAGTTGAAAAAGCCAACTGTTTATGTATCTTGAAATAGCAGAAGAAAAGACTTGGCTTACAGATTTTTCATAGCCCTTTAAGACTTCTTGGCAAACACAACCAACCAACCAAACAAACAAAAACAACAGAAAATAAAAATAAGCTAAAGCCAAATCAAATGGATAGAGTTCTCTTCTCATTTAAGCCTACTGTTTCAGATTATTTCACAGCTGCCACCATTACAAAGAGGGCATTAAAAATAGGTTGAGCAAAGAAGCTAGGATTTAAGGCAAGTTTGATAACTGCTTCGAGAAATAACTTTGGGTGTGTTTACTGGCATCTGAAACTGTCTGGAAGCACGTAGAACTTATTGAATATTCAATGGAATTATTTAAAAAAAAAAAAAGCAAACACCCAAAAAGCCTGGCCTACAAAAGCCCTCAAGTGTTCAAGCACTAAGGCATTCTCAAAAAGGAAATATACTCAACATCCAGTTAACTTGTATTCAGAAGGTAAAGCTTGCACCCACACAATACAACAAACAATAGAAATCCTCTCAGCAGAACCAAGGACTGACCAAGGAACTTATTCCATTATCAGGGCAGTGAGTATCCATACTTCCTTCCCAGGATTCTGCCATTGTTACGGGCCAGTAACTGCTGTGTTTCCCATTCTTCCTTTGTCTGAGTTTTAACTGTGATTGGCCTGTTTCTGCTCCACTGTTGGTTTTTATTGGATGTATGGGCATAGGACACATCAGTTGTTTTACAGTGTATACATCTCTGGAACATGAAACACCACATCCCAATGTGATAGGTTTCTGCATCACCAGATATCCTGAATTTTTAGCTGATGTAGAAAATGAATGGGAAATTGAGCTTTCTTCCCTAGGGAGGGAGGAAGGAGGCTCTACTGTGAGAAGAAGCTATATTATTCAGGGTTCTCCAGAGAGACAGAACCAATAGGAGATATATATATATATATAAATAATGATATGAGAGGGGAATTATTAGGGGAATTGGATCTTGTGATATGTGATTGTGGGGGCTGAGAAGTCCCACATCAAGCAGTCTGCAAGTCAGAGACCCTGGGATTCTGGCAGCATGGCTTAATCCAAGTCCGAAAGCTTGAGAACCCAGGGCGCTGCTGGTGTGAGTCCTGGAGTCCAAAGGTCGGAGAGCCTGATGTCCAAGGCCAGGAGAAGAAGTGTGTTTCTCAGCTTCAGGAGAGAGAGACCAATTCACCTTTTCTCTGTTTTTGTTTTGTCTGGGCCCAGCTAACTGGATGGTGCCTGCCCACACTAAGGGCAGATCTTCTTCACTTAGTCCACTCAGACTCACATGCCAATCTCCTCTGGAAACACCCTCACAGACACACACTAATATAATGCTGTAACAGTTAGTTTTCTTGGTATTCCTTAATCCAATCAAGTTGATACCTAAAATTACCATCAAAGGACATGTGGATATTCAGGTGGTCAGAGGGACATATTGTAGTAGAGACTGCTGATTGTCCCTCTAAACTCATTCTTTCCTATTTCTGGGCACAAGGCTGCCCAACTGGAAATTAAATTTCTAGTCTCATTGGTGGTCATATGATTAAGTTCTTGCCAATGGAACATGATCCGAATTGATGTGGGCAATCTCCTAACTTTCTGATATGGTTTGGCTCTGTACCCCAACTCAAATCTCATGTTGAATTGTAATCCCCAGTGTTGGGGAAGGGACCTGGTAGGAGGTGATTGGATCATGGCGGCAGATTTCCCTCTTGTGTTCTGGTGATAGTGAATGAGATCTCATGAGATGTGGTTGTTTGAAAGTCTGTAGCACCTCCCGCTTTGTGTTCTCTCTCTCTCCTGCCTTCATGTGATGACATACTTTCTTCCCCTTTGCCCTTCCACCATGATTGTAAGTTTTCTCAGGCTTCCCCAGTCATGCCTCCTGTAAGGCTGTGGAACTATGAGTCATTTAAATCTCTTTTCTTTTTTTTTTTGAGACGGAGTCTCGCTCTGTCGCCCAGGCTGGAGTGCGGTGGCACGATGTCGGCTCACTGCAAGCTCCGCCTCCCGGGTTCACGCCATTCTCCTGCCTCAGCCTCCCGAGTAGCTGGGACTACAGGCGCCCGCCACCACGCCTGGCTAATTTTTTTGTATTTTTAGTAGAGACGGGGTTTCATCGTGTTAGCCAGGACGGTCTCGATCTCCTGACCTCGTGATCCACCCGCCTCGGCCTCCCAGAGTGCTGGGATTACAGGCGTGAGCCACCATGCCCGGCCTAAATCTCTTTTCTTTACAAATTGCCCAGTTTCAGGTAGTTCTTTATAGCAGTGTGAGAACAGACTAATATACATTCTTTTTTTATTTATTTTATTTTTGAGATTTCACTCTGCCACCCAGGCTGGAGTGCAGTGGCACGATCTCAGCTCACTGCAGCCTCCGCCTCCTGTGTTCAATCGATTTTCCTGCCTCAGCCTCCTAAGTAGCTGGGACTACAGGCACCCGCCACCACGCCTGGTTAATTTTTTGTGTTTTTAGTAGAGAAAGAGTTTCACCATGTTGAGCAGGCTGGTCTCGAACTCCTGACCTCAGGTGATCCACCTGCCTTGGCCTCCTAAAGTGGTGGTATTACAGGCATGAGCCACCACGCCTGGCTGAGAACAGACTAATACACATTCTTAAAAGGGATTCCTTCTTCAGGTATTCTTCTCTTTCTCTTTCCCAATAGAGGGAATATGCCATTTATCACACATCAAGATGGCAAAAATCCAAAAGTTTGACATCCTTTGTAGTCAAGGCTGTAGGAAGCTGCACCCCTATATATTTCTGGTAGGAAGGCAAAATGATACCATTCCTATAAAATGCAATTTGGCAATATCTACCAAAATTGTATGTCTATCCTTTGCCTCATTTCTGGTAATGTGTTCTACCTGTACATATATAATGTATGCAAAGGTTATTCATCGCATTGATTAAAAATAACATGTCCTATAAGGATTAAATAAACTAAGGCATACTCTCACTGTGTAATATCCTCTAGCTCCAAAAAGAGTGATTTTGAAAGACTGGACAGCTGGTAAGATGTCCAGCTGTCTTAGTCTGTTTTCTGTTGCTTATACCAGAATACCTGAAACTGGGTAATTTATAAAGAAAAGGAATTTATATCTTAGAGTTATGAAGGCCAAGAAGTCTAAGGTCAAGGGGCCACATCTAATGAGACCCTTCTTGCTGGTGGGGACTTGCTAGAGTTCAGAAGCAGCACAGGGTATCACATGGCAAGGGAGTGACCTTCCTAACATGCTAGCTCAGGTCTCTTCCTCTTCTAATAAAGCCACATGTTCTCTCCCATGACAACCCATTAATCCATGAATAGATCAAGGGTTTTGCCCTCATGATCCAATCACCTATTTAAGGCCCACCTCTAAATACTGCCACATTAAAGATGAAGTTTCAACATGAGTTGTTTGTTTTTTTTTTTTTTTTTGAGACGGAATTTCCCTCTTGTTGCCCAGGCTGGAGTGCAGTGGTGCAATCTTGGCTCACCGTAACCTTCGCCTTCCAGCTTCAAGTGATTCTCGTGCCTCAGCCTCCCGAGTAGCTGAGATTACAGGCACGTGCCACCACACCCAGCTAATTTTTGTATTTTTAGTTGAGACGGGGTTTCTCCATGTTGGTCAGGCTGGTCTCGAACTCCCGACCTCAGGTGATCCGTCCACCTCGGCCTCCCAAAGTGCTGGGATTACAGACGTGAGCCACGGCGCCAGCCCTCAACATGAGTTTTGGAGAAGACAATTATTTCAAACCACAGTACCAGGAAAAGTGCAAAAAAAAAAAACCAAGGCAGAACAATTATGTGGTGTTGCTTGTGAGAGGTAAAATTTTATTTTATTAATATTTGCTTGTATTTGCAGAAATTCTATAAGAATACATGAGTATTGAATGTTATACAAACGCAGGCGACCATATAATCTTCCATTGAAATGGAACGGTTTCTAGAATGAAAGGGAGGATGTTATTATTATTATTATTATTTTTTGAGACCGAGTCTCGCTGTGTCTCCCAGGCTGGAGTGCAGTGGCGCGATCTCGGCTCACTGCAAACTCCGCCTCCCGGGTTCACGCCATTCTCCTGCCTCAGCCTCCCGAGTTGCTGGGACTACAGGGGTGCACCACCTACGCCCGGCTAATTTTTTTGTATTTTTAGTAGAGAACGGGGTTTCACCGTGTTAGCCAGGATGGCCTCGATCTCTTGACCTCGTGATCCGCCCGCCTCGGCTGCCCAAAGTGCTGGGATTACAGGCGTGAGCCACCGCGCCCGGCCGAAAGGGGGGATATTAATCATTACTCCAGGACGACAGAGGGAAAATCGCTTTGTACTGGACAAACTGGAATGTCTGACCAACCATTATAAAGTGCACGGAGTGGGAGGAGGAATAGGGACATTTTAATTGTATTTCTAAAAAGTATCTTCTGTGGTGAATCGGAAACAAAACTCATTCTTTACCACAGGCAGTTTAAGCGCTGCCTGAAAGATCGAAGGACGGTAAACCACAGACGTGAGAAACGGAACTTTGCGAAAACGCAGTCGTTTTATGTACCGGCTACTCATTGGAGTTACACCAGAGACTCACTACTGGAGTTCATCAGCCAATCCAAAGTCCAAGCGTGAGAGCCAGAGCCTGTAGGAGAGACCTGGGCAGGCCTCAGACCTGAGGAGTGGAGCTCCGCATCACTCAACCCTGGGGGCGGAGCTAGCCCAGGCTCCCACACCCGACGCTCTGGCCCACACAGACGCTACTCTGTAGCATCTCAGGTTCCCTCTGGCTGCACTCTGGAGGACCACACTCGTTTTCTTTTTGGCTGCCAGAGGCCCCCGCATCCACCGCTGAGCTGGGAGAAAGATGGCGGCAGCCGTGCGACAGGATTTGGCCCAGCTCATGAATTCGAGCGGCTCTCATAAAGATCTGGCTGGCAAGTGAGTATTTCCCAGGAACGCGGGAGTACAGAGGTGGGGAAAGAAAGCCACAGCCTTAATCTCCTTAGGTTGGCCACGGCTCTTGGGCGTGAAGCTAGGAGCCGGCCTGACGTCCAAGGGGGCGGGCCTGAGGTCGGCTGGGGAGGCAAATGTTGGGAGAAGCAGAAAGCTGGAGGGGACCTTGTGCAGGGGCCTTCGAGGCTATAGACTTGAAATGATTGTCAGCTTGTTCAGTTCTTGATAGAATCTTTCTGGTCCCTTAGGATTTTGGAACAGCGGTCTGAGAGACGACTGCTACCCTGGCCTTAGTAGCCTTCCCTGGTACCTCTTCCCATCGCTGGCCGGCCTCACACCGAATCTGGCCTCTCTTTGGACCTTCCTCCTCTTTTTTTTTGATTCAGAGAAATGTATATTCTGGGGCCTTGATGCTGCGTTTTTCGGGGAGATGGCTTCTTGGGGCTGGCTGAGGTTGAGGCGGTATGGCCGCTGTCATGTCGTCCAGACCATTCAGACTGTCTTCTGTGGGTCCTTGTGTTTCGGGTATTTTCTCTGCCACCAACTCTGATGGCACATAGGCGGAATGTGCTCATATCGTGGGTCAGGATGTCTACAGTAGTGATGTTTGCAGGAATCTGAATTTTGTCGAAATTTATATAGAATGCTTAGGTTCACTCCAAGTTAAAATGTGTGACGTGCCTGTTCTGCAAGCAGTTGTCAACAGTATTAAGCATAGGTAGGTAGACGTATATTGTTCATTTTCTCTTTGTAGATGTCACAGCATTTCTCTTTTGTAATGAACATGCTTTCTGTTTAAAGTATGCCTCTCTAGGCCGGGTGCAGTGGCTCACGCCTGTAATCCCAGCACTTTGAGAGGCTGAGATCACTTGAGGCCTGAGAGATCTGAGAGGGAGGATCACTTGAGGGCAGGAGTTCTAGACCAGCCTGGGCAACATAGTGAGACCCCCCCCCCCGCCGCCACCCGTCTCCGTAAATAAATAAGTAAATAAAGTATGCCTCTCAAGTTGATCTTAATGTTTACATCCTGACAGCTGAAATCACTTTGATGTATATTAATGGGATACACCTGTTCTAACCTGGTCATTGAAATTCTGACTGTTTTAAGTAGGCTAGGCTGCCTTTTCTCTGGTGGCAAACGTAATCTACTTTTATCAGTGGGAAATTCAGCCGTATATTTTGGGCTTAACTACTTTGTGCTGCATTTTCCCACTCAGGAAAATGAAGATAATAATAGGACTTATTCTTGTCTGACATTATCTGAGGACAAGATGAGTATGTGTGTGCATATATACTTACCACACTTATATCACGTAGAACAGTACCTGACATATAGAAAGTGCGGTAAGATTGTTGTTGTTACTATTAAGCTGTCAGTAAATATATATTCACTTATTGTATGGGTTGGAAATAAGTTAAATATGTCTTCATGGCTCAATCCTTTCTGCTTGTAATTTTTATATGGATGAAAGTAAAATCAGCTTATATTTTTCCCCATGCTTCCTTTACTTTTTATTTTGTTAAAGAAGAATAAGTGCATTAGTTATCAAAAGAAATAGAGCTTTGCAAGTATTTGCAGAATTCTGAAACTTAAGTATTTACTTCTTCAGGTCTGAATTGGAGATAAACAATAGTACTTAAAGCGTGCTTCAGTTATCTGTTGCTTTGTAACAAACCAAAAACTTAACCAGTGTAAAACAACTATGATTTCTCAGGATTCTATGGGTTGACTGGACTGCTTTGCTGGTCTTGTCTGGGCTCACTCATGCAGATATAGTCAGCTGGCAACACACCTGGGGCGGGACTCACATGCATATCTTGCTCTTGCCTGGATCTCTCTCTCTCTCTGCACAGTCTCTCATTCAGTAGTTTAGCTTGGGCTTTCTTAGGTGCCTATGAGAGGGGAAGTCGCAAGACCTCTTAAGGATAGCCTAGGAAGTCTCACGTCAGTTCTCTAGTACTGGTCAAAGTAAATCAGAAGACCAGCCCAGATTCAAGGGGAGGGGAAATGGAGCTTACTACTACCTCTTTAGTGGCAAAGTTACATTGCAAAGGAGCCTGGACAGAGGGAGACACGATTCATTGGAAGCCGTTACTGTAGCAGTCTACCACATGGTGTTATTGTGAAGATTAAATGAAATAATGTGCTTGATAACTGATAGCCAGTGCAGTCTTAGCCATAACTCCTTCAGAGCTGCTTTCTGAGAAAAGTCTTGGCCTTGCCTGCATTTCCTATGTGGGCAAGAATGTAGCAGGATATTTATCCTTACAACAACATCAGTTCTACCAGCTATATGCTTTAAGAGAAATACCCTTGAAATATATCAGTGTGTTTTTTTTTAATGTATTTTTTCTTGTATGTACTTTTAATGAAGGTTTTTGGGTGTTTTTTTTAGGAGCTGAGTAACAAAGGATTCCATATTAAAGAATAATGGAATACATTGTTTCTAAAACATCAATACTGTGTGTTCCTAGCAATTGGGATATCTGTAACAGTAGTTGTTCAATAAACGTGGTTGAATTAATGAATAGCTAGAAAGGGGCAGTGCTTGTATTTGAATCCAGGTTCATCTACTCTAAAAAGCTCATTTTAAACCTACCAGACTATGCTCGTTTTCTTGTTAAAAACTCAGTTAGAAATGCTTTCCCATAACTGTGAATTAACACAGCTGTCTAAAGTTTATATAAGAAATTAGCCAGAGGAAAAGCATTTCCTCCATTTTATAGGCTGCTTTTGTGCATATTATGCATTGTATTTATTATCTCACATAAAGCTTTAGAATAGGAGAGCCACAACGGAGGATAGACTTTATTGAGGATAGCCTCAAAGGCCCCTTCTAACTCAGATTCTGATTCTCTCTTTGTTGTCCCAAACACAACAGTTTTAGTGGTTTTCATCTCTAGAGTGAAAGTCAATAACATCTAGAGTTTACTGTGCGAAGCACAACATTACTTACATTTAAAAATCCTTAACAAGTAGGAGTAGGTGATAGTAGTGATATTATTTACATTATAATAAGAGAAAACCAAAGTACAGAGTTGAAATACCTTGCTCTGAGGTCACACAGCTAGTGGTGAAGCTAGAAGACAGTCCATATCTGCTTGCCTATGAGCCCTTAACTCTAAACAAACACATCTACCTTTTTGGCCTTATTTTCACAAAAAAAAATTGACTACACTTCAGATAGTGATTATTTTTGCCTAGAATGCCTGTCTTCCTACTGTTATTAAATTGAAATACTTAGAATGTTTAAAGATCAACCCCATCCAATGATTTCTCTCTCCTAAAAATTATATTAGCACTTACCTGTTTTTTTTGTTTGTTTGTTTGTTTTGTTTTGTTTTGAGATGGAGTTTCACTCTTGTTGCCTAGGCTGGAGTGCAGTGGCGCGATCTCGGCTCACTGCAACCTCTGCCTCCCGGGTTCAACCGATTCTTCTGCCTCAGCCTCCCAAGTAGCTGGGACTACAGGTGCATGCCACCACACCCGACTACTTTTTTTTGTATTTTTAGTAGAGACAGGGTTTCACCATGTTGGCCAGGATGGTCTCGATCTTTTGACCTTGTGATCCACCTGCCTTGGCCTCCCAAAGTGCTGGGATTACAGGCGTGAGCCACCGCGCCTGGCCAGCACTTACCTGTTTTTAAGATTTTGTCTTTAATTTTGTGTAGCTTCATTATGATATGTCTGTGGATTTGTTTTTACTTTTCTATGTCAGTTACCCTTTGCTGTGAAATAAACCCCAAAACTTAGGGCTTAAAACAACAGTCACTTATTTAGCTTATAATTCTGTAGGTTGGTAGTTTGGATTGGGCCCAGCTGTATGGTTCTTTTCTGCTCCACGTGGTCTTGGTTCCACATGGGCTCCCATGTGGGTCTATAGTTAGCTGCCAGCCAGGCCAGGTAGGCAGCTCTGCTTCTGTGGATTGGCTGGCTTGTTGGCTGGGGCAATATAGTTGACTGGGCTACATATCTCATTAGCCAGTATGTTAGTCTGAGCCTGTTCATGTGACAGCAGCAGGGTTCCAAAAGACAAACACATACAAGGCCTCTCGAGGTCTGGGCTCAGAACTAGCACTTCATTTCTACCACGTTTTATTGGTTAACCCCAGATTCAAGGGGTAGGGAAATAAACTCTACCTTTTGATATGAAGAGCTACAAAGTTGTATTGTAAAGGGACATGGGTACTGGGAGTGAAATTATATTGTGGCCGTTTTTTGTAAGCACTCTGTCACATTATCCTGGTTAAGCTTCACTGGGTTTCCTGAATCAATGGATTAAATCATTTCATCAGTCTTGAGATGTCTTCAGTTATATCTCTTTATTTTATTTTAGAGACAGGGTCTTGCTCTGTTGCCCTGGCTTGAGTGCAGTAGAGAGATCATGGCTTACTACAGCCTTAACATGCTTGGCTCAAGCAATCTTCTCGCCTTAGCCTCCTGAGTAGCTGGGACTATAGGCACGTGACACCATGCCTGGCTAATTTAAAAACATTTTTTTTGGTACAGATGGGGTCTCCCTATGTTGCCCAGGCAGGTCTCGAACTCCTGGGCTCAAGGGATTCTCCTGCCTCGGCCTACAAAAGTGTTGGGATTACAGGTGTGGGCTACTGTGCTTGGCCTGTATCTCTTTAAATGTTGCCTCTGCCCCATTCTGTTTCTCCTCTAGGCTCCGGTGAAATCCCTGTCAGGCCCACTGACTATAACCTCTAGGCCTCTTACTCTGTCTTTTCCATTTCAATGCTTTATTCTGGATTAGTTCTTCAGGCCTACCTTCTAGTTTATCACTTCTTCAACTGTGTTTAATCTGCCGTTAAGTACTCCATTGAGTTTCTAAGTTGGGTTGTATTTTTTAGCTCTGTAATTTCTGGTGGTTCTTTTTTCCAATGATACTTTTTATGGCTCCTGGTCTGTTGCTGAAACTTTAAAGCTTGTCTTTATCCCCATGAACATTGTAAGCATAATTGTATCATGCTCTTTCTGATAACTCCAGTCAGTATTTGACGTTTTGGTTGTTGCGATTGTCTGTTGCTTTTGTTGATTCTAGAGAGAAATTTCATTACCTGAGGGTGCTAACAGTGTATAATCAAGGCTTCAGAATTTTTTTGGTTTACCTGGGTGGTCTTGGGATAGAATTTGTAACCTTACTTCCAAAGTGTGTGTCTCCTCCTTTGGCAGAATATGGAACTTCCATTCCCATTTGTGCAGCTCTATTAGTCTGCCAGAAATGGCAGCTTGCTTCTCAGTGCTTCCAGCAGATTCGCAGTGAGCCCACCTTCTCCTCCCTACAAGAAGTGCCACTCTACCTCTCAGCCATCTTTCCACAGTCAGCAAATGCCTTTAGACAGAATATATGGTTTATCTTATTTTCCTCATTTTACCTTTCTTGTTAGGATTTTATGCAATTACATTTTTTTTTTCATTTCTTTCAGCTTTTTATGTTGGCTTTTTTTTTTTTTTTTTTGAGGGAGGGTTGGTCCAGTCGTTTAGTTCACCATTACTGTAAGTGGAAGATCTGTTAATACCTACCTTTACCACCCATTGTGATCTTAAATGATGACTGTGGTACATTTTCATGCTTTATTTATCTCCAGATTCCTTTCAAGTGCCAAGAAATTAAGAATCAACATACTGAATTTGGTTCATATACATTAAAGATGCTCAATTCACTGATGATAAATGGATAGGAGAGATGTATGATGCCTTAGTAATAAAACTTATTTTCCTCCATAAGTTTTTTTTTTTTGTTTTTTGTTTTTTTTTTTTGAGATGGAATCTCACTCTGTCGCCCAGGCTGGAGTGCAGTGGCATGATCTTGGCTTACTGCAATCTCCACCTCCCGGGTTCAAGCGATTCTTCTGGCTCAGCCTCCTGAGTAGCTGGGACTACAGGCACACGCCACCACGCCCGGCTAATTTTTGTGTTTTTAGTAGAGACAGAGTTTCACCATGTTGGGCAGGCTGGTCTTGAACTCCTGACCTCAGGTGATCCGCCCACCTCAGCCTCCCAAAGTGCTGAGATTACAGGCGTGAGCCACTGCGCCCGGCCAAATTTTTTTAAGGAAGAAAATATTTGGCACTTGTCACATTCTCCATATCAGTCACATTTCTCTTTGTATACTGAGTACTCATATAAAAAGCTATTATTATCTACGAAGCCTTATTTGACAAATCTAGTCCATTTTTGTTTTACTCTCACTCTGTCACAGGCTGGAGTACAGTGGCTCACTGCAGCCTCCACCTCCTGGGTTCAAGTGATTTTCCTGCCTCAGCCTCCCGTGTAGCTGGGACTTACAGTTGTGCACCATCACACTCGGCTAATTTTTGTATTTTTAGTAGAGATGGGGTTTCTCCGTGTTGGCCAGGCTGGTCTTGAACTCCTGGCCTCAAGCGATCGTCTTCCTTGGCCTCCCAAAGTGCTGGGATTGCAGGTGTGAGCCACTTCACCTGGCCTTACTCTCTTTTGAGTTAATATATTACCTCTTCATTTATCATATTGCTTATATTGTTCAGTTTTATCATAACTTTTGTTTTTGTATTATTGTAATTTAATACTTTTTTTTTTTTTTGAGATAGAATTTCGCTCTGTCACCCAGGCTGAAGTGCAGCAGCGGGATCTCAGCTCACTGCAACCTCTGCCTCCCAGGTTCAAGTGATTCTCGTGCCTCAGCCTCCCGAGTAGCTGAGATTACAGGCACGTGCCACCACACCTGGCTAATTTTTGTATTTTTAGTAGAGATGAGGTTTCACCATGTTGGCCAGGCTGGTCTCGAACTCTTGACCTCAAGTGATTGGCCCACCTCAGCCTCCCAAAGTGCTGGGATTACAGGCGTGAGCCACCGCACCTGACCATATTGTAATTTAACACTTGACATATTAACTTTTTATTTTTAATCTTCCCCTTTGTCTTCTCAGCCATATGATCTTCAAATACAAAGGTCATTTAAAAACTTTTTAGTATCATACACAGAATCTCATATAGCATCTTAAAATGCCTAAGGACTCAATTAACACCTTGGGGTGATTTTATATGGCAGTATTAAATTTCTGTTTAAGTTCCTGGTTTAAAACAGGTTTGTTAGTCATTTTATGTTATTCTGAAAAAGTAATCTCTGTTGTTAGATACTAGAATTTACATATTAGAGAAGCAAGGGAGCATGTAATGTAGCCACAGTGCTGTACCTCACTTTTTTTAATTAATTAATTTTTTTTTTTTTTTGAGACAAGGTCTTGCTCTGTCCAGGCACACGCCACCACAGCTGGCTAATTTTTGTAATTTTTTTTTATTTTTAAAATTTTTATTTTTGAGATGAGATATCACTCTGTTGCCCAGGTTGGAGTTGCAGTGGCAAGATCTCAGCTCACTGCAACCTCCACCTCCTGGGCTCAGGCAATCCTCCCCCCTCAGCCTCCCAAGTAGCTGGCACCACAGGTGTGTGCCACAATGCCTGGCTAATTTTTTTATATTTTTGGTAGAGATGAGGTTTTACTATGTTGCTCAGACTGGTCTCGAACTCCTGAGATCAAGCCATCTGACTGCCTTGGCCTCCCAAAGTGCTGGGATTACAGGCATGAGCCACCACGCCCAACCAATTTTTGTATTTTTTTTTTTTTTTTGTAGAGATGAGGTTTCACCACATTGCCCAGGCTGGTCTTGAACTCCTGGACTCAAGTGATCTACTTTCTTTGGCCTCCCAAAGTGGTAGGATTACAGGCATGAGCCACTGCGACTGGCCCTCAATTTATTCATTTATAAAATTGGGAGTTTATGTACACAATTTCTAAGGCCTCTATAAGTTATATAATTTGATGAGTATAAAACTTTGATCACTTTTTAGGTTGGTTTATTTTCATTTTTTCTTCCTATTCCCAATACAGATTAGTTGATTGATTATGAAACTATGTGTTAAAACTTAGGTTAGGCCAGGCACAGTGGCTCAAGCCTGTAATCCCAGCACTTGGGGAGGCTGAGTTGGGAGGATTGCTTGAGTCCAGAAGTTGGAGACCAGTTTGGGCAATGTAGTGAGACCCCATCTCTACAAAAAGAAAAGAACAGTTAACCAGGGGTCGTGGCACATGCCTGTAGTCCTAGCTACTCAGGAGGCAGAAGCAGGAGGATTGTTTGAGCCCAGGAATTGGAGGTTACAGTGAGCTATGATCATGTCACTGCACTCTAGCCTGGGCGACAGAGTGAGACCCTGTCTCAAAAAAAAAAAAAAAAAAAAAAAAAAAACCATAACAACCACAAAACAACTTAGGTTAATTAGCAAATTTATATAAGTGAGACACTATTACCTTTGAATATAATGTTGTTAGTATAAAATAATCTAAGAGGATATAAAAGTAAGAGATCTTAGCAATAACCCTTGATTTAATTAAATATGAAAAAAATAAAAAATAACAAACCATTGAATGTATAACTTATCTGAAAGCATGCCCAGGGCCATAAAGTAATTTATCTTTTAAGGACCCTCAAACTTAGCAATATTGAAAATATAATTTTCTAAAAACTTAATATTTCCTTGCTTTCTTAGAATAATTTATTTCTTCTTTTGGAATTTGCTATCTTTTCTATCCGTATATCTGCTTTCTTAAAGTCACTTTGATTCATTGTGGTTTTGAGAAATCAGATAACCAAGGTTGTGAGAATTTTGTATGAGTTGAGAGTCAGTAATGCTGAGTGGTAGCTTGAGGGTGTGCCCTACAAAATAAAAGTCATAAATCTGAATGAGTTCAGGTTCTATTTTTGTATATTTATTTCGTAACTCTATTCTGGATGACTTTCCGAATAATTGCAATGCTATGAGGTTTGTAAAATGTATTTAGTGCTTTTAAAAAATATTACAATTGGCTGGGCGCGGTGGCTCACGCCTGTAATCCCAGCACTGTGGGAGCCCGAGGTGGGCGGATCACCTGAGGTCAGGAGTTCAAGACCAGCCTGGCCAACATGCGGAAACCCCATCTCTACCAAAAATACAAAAATTAGCCGCACTTGGTGGTGCATGCCTGTAGTCCTCGCTACTCTGGAGGCTGAGGCAGGAGAATTGCTTGAACCTGGGAGGCGGAGGTTGCAGTGAGCCGAGATTGCGCCAGTGCACTCCAGCCTGGGTGACAGAGCAAGACTCCATCTCAAAAAAAAAAAAAAAAAAATGATTAAGACAAAAGAGATAAAGATTAGTATAGGCCGGGCACGGTGGCTAACGCCTGTAATCCCAGCACTTTGGGAGGCTGAGGTGGGCGGATCATGAGGTCGGGAGTTTGAGACCAGCCTGACCACATGGTGAAACCCCATCTTTACTAAAAATACAAAAATTAGCCAGGCGTGGTGGCGCATGCCTGTAATCCCAGCTACTCAGGAGGCTGAGGCAGGAGAATCGCTTGAACCTGGGAGGTGGAGGTTGCAGTGAGCCAAGATTGCGCCACTGCACTCCAGCCTGGGTGACAGAGCGAGACTCCGTCTTCAAAAACAACAACAACAACAACAACAAAAGAATAGTATAACACTCATATACTAACCACTCGTTAAGAAATAAAACATTACTAATACCGTTGAATATTTGAGTGCTTATGATGTGCCAAGAATTGAGATAATTGTCTACATAGCAGAGAACAAAACACAAGAATTCCTGTCCTCGTGGAGCTTGTGTGGTCACAGATATTAGGTAGAATAGTTATTAGATCTGAATGCAAATAAAGAATAAATAGGTACTGTCTGACAGCATAAATGGTATTCTATCAGTGCATTTGGCTTGGCGAAGTTTATTTTGTACAGACTAAGACATTCAGTCTTTAATGTTTGGTTTCGTTGCCTGGTCAACATTATCCTATTGCTGGTGACCCTACATACATTACGTCTGTAAGAGGAAAAGATTCAGGTCACCTCAAATAATGTTTTTGTGTGTCTATGTATTGCACAGTTGAAGGAAATATAGCTTATCTTTTAAGGCATTTGAAAGGAAATTGACTTTGTAGTTTAAATTCAAAAATAAAACCTTCAAGAAAAAGTGACACCTTAGATTCAGTAACAGAATTATAGATTCATTCTTTCTTGTGATGAGCTTGAAAACTTAAAAAATTCTGGTATACTATACTGAAAACTAGATGAAGTGGTACCTTATATAATTATAGATTTAATATCTCTTGTGATAGACTAGAAACTTAAAAAAAAATCTGTGGTATACTATAAAGAAAACCACAAACTATAGTACTATGAAAGAAACCAAGGTATGTAGAAATGAATAAATACACATCAAAGTTTGCATTAGAAAATATAGTACCCTCAGAACATTATTTTCATTTGGTATTGTTGTAGGTATCGTCAGATCCTGGAAAAAGCCATTCAGTTATCTGGAGCAGAACAACTAGAAGCTTTGAAAGCTTTTGTGGAAGCAAGTAAGTGAAATGGAAATTTCATGCTTGCCTTGTATTACTGAGCTAGGACTTTAAAGTTCTCTCAAGCCTTGTTTTGTATCAAATTATCAATATTAAATATGCATTGAGATTGATTGATTTTAGAATTTAAACTGTTTACAACTTGATTAATTTTCAGTGAATTATCTTCAGAATTACAATCCTAATTAAAGTTTTGTATGTTTATTGTTATAATAGCTGATAAGGGACAATATAGCATAATAGTAAAGAGAATAGTTTGGATTCAAATCCTGGTATGCTATTTTATGAGCTGTGTGATCTTGGGTCAATTATTTAACCTCTCTGTGCCTCCTTTTCCTCTTTAAAATGTACTCTGTAGTACATCTAATGTACCTAAAATGTACTCTATAGTACATTACTGTACTACAGGGTAGTACAGTACTGTACTTTGAGAAGTGTCTGCTTATGTCCCTTGTCAATGTTTTAATGGGGTTGTTTTCTTAATGTTCAACATCACTAATCATCAGAGAAATGCAAATCAATGTGGGATGCCATCTAATATTAGTCAGAATGGCTACTATTAAAAAGTAAAAAAATAACAAATTCTGGTTAGACTTCAGAGAAAATGAAATGCTTATACACTGTTGGTGAGAATGTAAATTAGTTCAGCCACTGTGAAAAGCAGTTTGGAGATTATTCAAAGAATTTAAAGCAGAAGTACCATTCAACCAGCAATTCCATTACTGAGTATATATCCAAAAGAAAATTAAAAATTCCACAAAAAGAAACCCCACATGCACTTGTATATTCGCCATATTGCTATTCACAATAAGGAAGGCATGGACTTAACTTATGTGTGAATCAATAAATTGGATAGAAATATGTGCCACATATACACCATAAAATACTACGCACACATTAAAAAGAATACAATCATGTCCTGTGCAGCAACATGCATATGTCTGTAGGCCATTATCCTAAGGAATTTTATAGTGAGTTCACATGGAATTTTATAGTGAGTTCACATCATTAATGATATCTGATAGTGCTTTACAGTGTGTTCTCACACACATTACCTGTCACATAGGCTCCTTTTAATAACCTGTGACTAGAACGTATAGGTACAGGTATCCCTGTATAATATATTGTAAGACAAGTCTCAGGATTGAGTAACTTTTTTTCAAGGACATTTAGCTGGCAGAGCCCAGATCAGAAACTAGGTTTTCTGATACACTGCTCTTACTTGCTTATATTTCCCTGAGTAATACCAGCTTGTATGGTAACTTAAATGCCTAATGACACTTGTAATGAAACTGTTTTCTCAGTCACATCCTGTATTACCCAATAATGAATTCCAATTAATATGTGATTAATTAATTACAACTGCCTTAAAAAAATACTGCCTTAAAAAGTTACTGCCTTAAAACTTAAAAGGTTACTGCCTTAAAAAATCATGGCCTCCGGTGTGAGATAAACTAGCAATGGTTTCCAAAAAACTGTTAGGAGTGGTTTATTAAGAACTTTGCACTGTAGTAGCAGAAGAATAATGCTTTTTATAACTTTGATCTTGGCTGGGCACGGTGGCTCATGCCTGTAATCCCAACACTTTGCGATTACAGGTATGAGTCATGGCACCCAGCCAAGGGATCACTTGAGCTCAGGAGTTCAAAACCAGCCTGGGCAATGTGGAGAAATCTCGTCTCTACAAAAAAATACGAAAATTAGCCTGGCGTGGTGATGCATGCCTGTAGTCCCAGCTATTGGGACGCTGAGGTGGGAAGACTGCTTGAGCCCCGGTGGTCGAGACTGAAGTGAGCTGAGGTTGCATCACTGCGCTCCAGCCTGGGCAGCAGTAAGATTGTCTCAAAAAAACAATTAAAAAACATATATATATATATTTTTTGATCTTTGTATAAGCTTTGAATCCAGTAAACCACCAGGAAAAGCAGTCTACTGTTAAAATCATTTACATCAACTGAACAGTTTTTGAATCACTTATTTTCATATTAACTGCTGCTTTAAGACTTGAATAATTGGCCGGGGCCATGGCTTACGCCTGTAGTCCCAGCACTTTGGGAGACCGAGATGGGCGGATCACGAGGTCAGGAGATCAAGACCATTTTGGCTAACACGGTGAAACCCTATCTCTACTAAAAATACAAAAAAATCAGCTGGGCGTGGTGGCGGGTGCCTGTAGTCCCAGCTACTCAGGAGGCTGAGGCAGGAGAATGGCATGAACCCGGGAGGTGGAGCTTGCAGTGAGCCAAGATGGTGCCACTGCACTCCAGCCTGGGCGACAGAGCGAGACTCAGTCTCAAAAAAAAAAAATAATAATAATAAAAAAGACTTGAATAATTTATCTAAGCAATAGTTTACAAGAATGATGCATTTAAAATGATAGTTATAATAGTAACATTTGTTGAGTGCTATGTACCAGGTATTGTTTAAAGTGCTTTGTGTATATTATTGCATTTAAGCTTCATAACAACCTTATGAAATAGATGTTACACATGAGGAAACAGAAGCACAGAGAAGCATAGAGAAGTTAAGTTTCTTGTCTGAAGTCATATAATCAGTAGTGGTAGAAGCAGTGTGGCTCCAGAGCTTAATCACATAAAATAATACCTCGTAAATGTTTATAAATAATGTCAATACATCTAGTGCTCACTGAAGTTCTTATTTATTGTTTTTATTGGGAAAGTATAAGTGGCAATAACTGTACTGGCAGCACTTGCTTTATTTAAATTTCATGAAAATTATTTTACTGTTTTCTTTTTTAACTCCTTTTTGGAACAAGGTAGGATATAAGCACATAAATAAAAATATAGGTGTTTTTGTGCCTTCACTTTGTAGAAAAATGAGATAAAATTATCAACTTTTAAAACTTTTTTCAATTATTTCTGTTTCTTAGAAAAGTTGTGTTATTTTTACTGTTTTTTAAGATTTTTTAATTAATTAATGAATTAATTAATTTTGAGACAGAGTCTAGCTCTGTTGCCCAGGCTGGAGTACGGTGCTGTGATCTCGGCTCACTGCAACCCCAGCCTCCCAGGTTCAAGCGATTCTCTTGCCTTAGCCTCCTGAGTAGCTGGGACTACAGGTGCCCACCACCATGCCTGACTAATTTTTTTTTTGTATTTTTAGTAGAGACAGCGTTTCACCACGTTGGTCAGGCTGGTCTCGAACTCCTGACGTCGTGATCTGCCTGCCTCGGCCTCCCAAAGTGCTGAGATTACAGGCGTGAGCCATCGCACTGGCCTATTTTTACTGTTTTTGTGTGGTCATTGTGTAATCAAGTATTTCAGCATAAGGAAAACTGATGATGTAATATAAAATGATAGGGGTATGGAAATCCTTGAATAATGCATTGAAGGCTGTACTAATATAGATTGTTGTTAGTATTAATTTTAAGTAAAGGTTGATTGTTTAATGACAATTTATCAGCTCATGTTTTCTTATCTTTTTTTTTTTTTTAAACAAGTGGTAAATGAGAATGTCAGTCTCGTGATCTCGCGGCAGTTGCTGACTGATTTTTGCACACATCTTCCTAACTTGCCTGATAGCACAGCCAAAGAAATCTATCACTTCACCTTGGAAAAGATCCAGCCTAGAGTCATTTCATTTGAGGAGCAGGTAAAAATCTAGAGAAGTGGTTTTTTAACTTGAGATAGCAGCAGTTATTTTGAGAATCTGATATTAGTAAATTCTTAAAGGAGATAATCATCCAATTTCATTTTTGACAAAACAGTGTGCCAAACGACATTTTATGATGCAAAATCAAGTAAATATTAGGTTGTTACAACTCCAACTGACATTTGCTTATAAAGTAAAATTTGATTTTGTGAATCAAATATTGCTCTCTAGACAATTTTTTAAAATCAGTAAAATTGGTATTTCAGCTGAAAACACAGGAAAACTCCAGCATCGTGTATGCAGGAACATACAAGCTAAATTTAATGTTTAAACTACAGTATTGTACCATAATCCACATTGCAGAAATGTGTTGCTTCCGTTCACTAGTTTGATATTCTGTAAATGCAAAATTCGTAGGAAAACTTGGGTGGTCTTGATAAACGTTTACTGTTTACGTGGCAGCTTAGTATGTTGAATTGCCACTTTAGAATAACTTTCCTATTTATTTTAATTAGTTACTAATGTCAGTTGAAATAATTTGACATGTATACCTATTATTCCAGGTTGCTTCCATAAGACAGCATCTTGCATCTATATATGAGAAAGAAGAAGATTGGAGAAATGCAGCCCAAGTGTTGGTGGGAATTCCTTTGGAAACAGGACAAAAGTATAGTAAATAGTGGATATTGGATGACTATATATAGGATGTATATAATTGCTCACTTATATTTTTTCTTACATTCTAGTACAGGAAACAGATAAACAAATAAATACAAAATTGTGTAGTATGTTAGAAGGTGATAAGTGCTGTGGAGAAAAGTAATGGGGCAAAGCGGGGACAGGTTGTATGTATATTTAAATAGGGTGATTGGGGTAGTAGGGTGGCCCTGATGTCACTTTATCAAAGACTTGAAGGAGATAAGGGAGTAGCTAAGAGTGATCTGAGGAAAGAATATCACCAGATACTCTTGTTGTTGTTGTTGTTGTTGTTGTTTTTTGTGACGGAGTTTTGCTCTGTTGCCCAGGCTGGAGTGCAGTGGCATGATCTCGGCTCACTGCAACCTCTGCCTCCTGGGTTCAAGCAATTCTCCTGCCTCAGCCTCCCAAGTAGCTGGGACTACAGGCATGCACCACCACACCTGGCTATTTTTGTATTTTTACTAGATTTTCACCATGTTTACTAGGTTTCACCATGTTAGCCAGGTTGGTCTCAAACTCCTGACCTCAAGTGATCCACCTACTTCAGCCTCTCTAAGTGCTGGGATTACAGGTCTGTGAGCCACTGCACCTGGCCGAATATCATCACTAGATACTCTTAGAGGAGATGGCTAGTGCAAAGGCCCTAAGATGGGAGCAAGCTTGAAGTGTTTTCTTAATAAGAGCAAGGAGGCCAGTGTGGATAGAGTAGAGTGAGCAAAGGGGCAAGAGATCAGGGATGAGAGTAGAGAGTACTGGGGACCAGGTTATGTGGAGTTTTATAAGCCATTGTAAGGAATTTGGCTTTTCACTAAGTGAAATGAGGGGGAGCCATTGGAGAATTGTGAACAAACAGTGAAATGATCTGACTTCTGTTTTAAATAATTACTCTCACTACTGGGTTGAGAATAAACTGTAGGCAAGCAGTGATAGAAGTAGGGATATTGGTTAAGAGGCTTATGAGACCAGGTACAGTGGCTCACACCTATGGTCCAAGCACTTTGGGAGGCTGAGGTGGGAGAAGATTGCTTGAGCCCAGGAGTTCGAGAACCACTTGGGCAGCATAGCTAGACCCCATCTCCACCAAAAAAAAAAAAAAAAAATGCTGGGCATGATGGCACATGCCTGTAGTCCTAGCTACTTGGGAGGCTGAGGCGGGAGGATCGCTTGAGCCCAGGAGTTTGAGACCAACTTGGACAACATATTGAGAACACCCCCCATCCCTACAAAAAAATTTTTTTTTGTTTTAAATTAGCTGGGCCTGGTGATATAGTATGGATATGCATCTATACTCCCAGGTAGTTGGGAAGCTGAGGCGAGAGGATTGTGTGAACCCAGTAATTTGAGGCTGCAGTGGGCCATGATTGCACTGCTGTACTCCCACCTAGGGCACAAAGCAAGACCCTGTCTTTTTTAAAAAAGGCTTATACAGTACCACAGATAAGGTGGATGTTGTGAGAAGTATTGAATTCTAGATATGTTTTTTAAGGTAGAGTAAGGATTTCCTGATGGCTTGTATGTAGAGTGTGCAAAAAAGAGTCAAGATAAGCCCTGATTTTTGGCCTGAGCAATTGGAAAGTTGGAGTGGGGAAGAATAGGTTTGTAGGGAATATCAAGAGTTTCATTTTGGACATATGATATCCAAGTAGAAATATGTAGTGAGGAGTTGAATGTATTAGTCTGGAGATTAGAAGAGATATCTGGACTAGATATACATATTTGGGAGTTATTGACATATAGATGAAATTTAAAGCCATTAGATTGGATGAGATGCCCAAAGGAGAGAATGTAGATAGGCAAAAGGACTGAGTATAGTGAGGCCTGGAGCACTTCAACGTTAAGAGGTTGGGACCAGGGGAAGATGTAGCAAATGAGAAGGATTATCCATTGAGGTAAGAAGGAAATCAGAATAATGTGGAGGGTGGTGTCCTAGAAGCCAAATGAGGAAAATGTATCAAGGGCCAGGTGGTGAGCTATGGCATTGATAGGTCAAGTAAGATAAGGAGTACAGGTTAACTGTTGGCATTAGTAGTGTAGAGGCCACTGATAACCTTAACCAGCTGAGTTTTGTGAAATGATAGTGAAAGCCTGATTGCATGGTTTAAGAGAGAATGGGAAGAGAAGATGTGGAGATAGTGAGTATGGGCTACCCTGTGGGGGAGTTTTCAAAAAAGGTAGGAAGAAAAACAGGGTAGACGATGACAGCAGACGTTAGGCTAAGGGATTAGTTTTTCTTTTATGATCCAGTAGAAAGCAAAAATTTGATATAGGGGAATTGGGGAGAGGATTCTTGCAGGAGTAGACAAGAGAGGAAGGAATCTAGCAGAGGGATAGGCTTTAGATAGGAATATGGGTAGTTCATCTGTGTCAGAGATTCTCAGCCTCAGCACTACTGGCGTTTTCGGCTAGATACTTTGTTGTGGGGGCTGTCCTGTGTATTGCAGGAGGTTTTAGCAGCACCACTCCTCTGATTGCTGGATGCCAATAGTACTGCTGTTCCTAGTTGTGACAAGAAAAATGTCTGTAGACATATTAGTGATATAGTGGTGGAATTTGTGTAAGTACTCTTTCATTGCATTGCTCCAGTATTCTTTTTTTGTTGGCTTTTTGGTTTTGAGAGAGGGTCTGGCTCTGTCAACCAAGCTGTAGTGCAGTGGTGTGATCTCAGCTCACTTCAGTGTCCGTCTCCTAGCATCCCAAGTAGTTGGGACTACAGGTGCACACCACTACGCCTGGCTAATTTTTGTATTTTTAGTAGAAACGGGGTTTCACCATGTTGCCCAGGCTGGTCTCAAACTCCAGGGCTCAAGCAATCCACCTGCCTTGGCCTCCCAAAGTGCTGGGATTACAGGTGTGAGCCACCATGCCCAGCCTTGCTTCAATATTCTTAAGGAAGTTGAAATCAGAGACATCAGCTGGAACGGTGGATGGGGTTGCAGTGTGAGGTTGAGGAGAGACAATAATGTGAGAAGTAATCCCCTTAGGAGAGTGGGACAATGAATGGACTCAGCATGTAAACTTGGCAGCATTAAGGACTTGTTGAAGATCATAATGATTAAAATTAGATCAGTCATACTGGGCACAGTGGCTTCATGCTTGTAGTCCTGGCTACAAGCCTCAGTCCCAGCGGAGGTGGGAGGATCTTGTGAGCCCAGAAATTTGAGCCCAGACTGGGCAACACACTAAGACCCCATCTCTAAAAAAAATTTGATTTGGTGCTTTTTCCCATCACATTTCAGCTACATGAGTACGGGAAAGGAGTGAGCAAACAATTAGGTTTAACCACAGTTGCAATTTTTGCCTAACAAGTATGACAGCAAGAGAGGGACAAGGGAGATGAGTACCTATGCGGTTCAATGATGATAAGTTATTACAATGAGTGACCATAGGAGTTAGGCTAGGTAAAGAGGGAAGTGAGGCCTTTATGGAGAAAGGCAGTGACATGTAAGGGATAAGTGGTTTGGAGGGCACAGTGGGTTCAAGGATTGTTGGGTTTGAGATACTAGAGAAAATGAGGTAGAAAAACAATTTTAAAAAATTAAGATGGCAGGGCGTGGTAGCTCACGCCTGTAATCCCAGCACATTGGGAGGCTGAGGTGGGCAGATCACCTGAGGTCGGGAGCTTGAGATCAGCCTGGCCAACATGGTGAAACCTTGTTTCTACTAAAAATACAAAAATTAGCCGGTGTGGTCTCATGTGCCTGTAATCCCAGCTACTGGGGAGGCTGAAGCACAAGAATCATTTGAACCCGGGATGTGGAGGTTGCAGTGAGCCGAGATTGCACCACTGCACTCCAGCCTGGGTGACAGAGTAAGACTCTGTCTCAAAAAAAAAAAAAGATGGTTTATAACTCTTACTCAACCAATCTTACCTCTTGATGTATATGTTTTTTAAAATTTATAGTTCTTTATGAAACATTTCTCCTAAGTATATTGCACGAGAAGGATGAAAGGTATGAGACTATTGCTTATTGTATTGAAAACACTTCCTCTTCCAGTTGGCAAGTATAAAACGGTACCAACTGTGAAGGACTTAAAAATATCTTTGGCCAGGCGCGGTGGCTCACACCTGTAATCCCAGCACTTTGGGAGGCTGAGGCAGGCGGATCACAAGGTCAGGAGATCAAGACCATCCTGGCTAACATGGTGAAACCACGTCTCTACTAAAAATATAAAAAATTAGCCAGGTGTGGTGGCAGGCGCCTGTAGTCCCAGCTACTTGGGAGGCTGAGGCAGGAGAATGGTGTGAACCTGGGAGGCGGAGCTTGCAGTGAGCCAAGATCACACCACTGCACTCCAGCCAGGGTGACAGAGCGAGACTCCATCTCAAAAACAAAACAAAACAAAACAAAACAAAAAATAACTTCATCTGCTTTTCTACTCGTTTGCCAGGTGAACGGGGGATTCTTTTTTTGTTCTTCATTAATATTTGCAATAGTGAGGCAGACACTGCTTCAGACATCTTGCCTTTTTTGTGCATTATTTATGAAATTACTTGGCAATGATGCTCCTTGAAAAAGCGGCCAGTTTGTAAAAAAGCCTTCATATGTAGATGTTGAATTTTGCATTTCAAGGTCCCTTGATAATTTGGTAGTTTGAAAAAGCTGGGCTTTCTTGATTGCTTTGGTCTTATTCTTTACCTAGCATTTTTTCCCTAGCACAGGGCAATTGATTTATTTTCAGTGGTAGCTGAAACAAATATAAAATTAGATACTGTTTTTTGCAGTGGTCATAATTATCATTTTATAGTACTATAGTGTTATCCTCATCTGTGAGGAAACCAAAGAGATAAAAATGTCATTGGTTTTCTAAACGAGTTAAAGTGACTAAATGTAGACTTTGGATAAATGGGAACTTTTTCTTTCAAAAAATGATTCATTCTGATTATGAAAGTAATCGATATAATAGTTACACTTGGCAAAAAATTGGAAAATTCAACAGTATAGTGCTATGCATAGCAAGCAATGTAAATTTGAATTGTGAATGGAAAAAAGTACAGAATATTAATATATGCAAGGAATAAATTTGCATAAATTTCTCCTCCCATTCTCCTTTGCCCCCAAATCAATAAAGTATAGAATTATTTTCAAAGCTGGGGCCAAGTGAATTATAAACTCTGTGTTCTTGCCACATGGTGGCACCACTTTTGCAGGTAAATAGGATTAATTTTTCTGTTAGGATTAATCTTGTTTCATGTGAGTTTTGAGTTATGTGAGGTCTTTAGTTATGCACTCCTGGCATAAAATGTGACCACTGAGATGAAGAAGAAAATGAAAGCCACCTATAATCTGACTACCCACAGATAATTGCTATTAGTATTTTGATATATGTGTATAGAAATATATTTTAATAGTGTTTTACATACTGTTTTATCCAGTTTTTTCATTTAGGAAAAATACGTGGTGACTAGATTATAACTATACAGTATTCTACCTTTTTTTTTTTTTTGAGATGGAGTCTCACTCTGTTGCCCAGGCTGGAGTGCAGTGGCATGATCTCGGCTTACTGCAACCTCCACCTCCCGGGTTCAAGCTATTCTCCTGCCTCAGCCTCCCTAGTAGCTGGGACTGCAGGCATGTGCCTCTATGCCTGGCTAATTTTTTTATTTTAGTAGAGACAGGGTTTCACCATATTGGTCAGGCTGGCCTTGAACTCCTGACCTCGTGATCTGCCCGCCTCGGGCTCCCAAAGTGCTGGGATTACAGGTGTGAGCCACCGCGCCCAGTCTTGTATTCTACCATTTTTATGCACCACAACTTGATCACCAATAATATCATAATGGGTGATTTCCAATTTTTTTCCTAGCATAGATATTTATAAATAAATAATTTTACAAATGAATATCCTTTTAGATGAATATGTGTGCACATACCTGGCTCTCTTTTTAGGATTTCTTTTCTTTTCTTTTTTTTCTTTTTCTTTTTTTTTTTTTTGAGACGAAGTCTCACTCTGTCACCCAGGCCGGAGTGCAATGTCACGATCTTGGCTCACTGCAACCTGTGCCTCCTGGGTTCAAGCAATTCTCCTGTCTCAGCCTCCCGAGTAGCTGGGATTACAAGTGTGGTGCCAACCATGCCCGGCTAATTTTTTGTATTTTTAGTAGAGACAGGGTTTTACCATGTTGGTCAGGGTGGTCTTGAACTCCTGACCTCAGGTGATCCACCTGCCTAGGCATCCCAAATTGCTGGAAATACAGGCATGAGCCACCACGCCCGGCCTTAGGATTTATTTTCTAAAGGTAAATGTATAGTGGGTTAAGGGTATATGCATTTTAAAGGATTCAAAGGATGGTTGGAGAGCATATTTCCCAGTTATTTTCTAGGAAGGTTGTCCCACTAGTCATATATGATATACCCCTAAACTGGGCAGTTGTTCTTTTAAGATCTTTAGCTTGTGAGATTATCTGAGGATTAAAAGCAGCTAAGATATAATGTGATTAATGATAATAAAAATTCAATAAAACTTTTTAGTTTTTGTGTAATGCAGTAAAAAGTTTGATTCCCGGCCGGGGGCAGTGGCTCACGCCTGTAATCCCAGCACTTTGGGAGGCCGAGGCGGGTGGATCATGAGGTCAGGAGATCGAAACCATCCTGGCTAACACGATGAAACCCCGTCTCTACTAAAAAATACAAAAAATTAGCTGGGCGTGGTGGCTGCCGCCTGTAGTCCCAGCTACTTGGGAGGCTGAGGCAGGAGAATGGCGTGAACCCGGGAGGGGGAGTTTGCAGTGAGCCAATATTGCACCACTGCACTCCAGCCTGGGCGACAGAGCAAGACTCCATCTCAAAAAAAAAGTTTGATTCCCTTACGGTACCAGAATATATATCAGGAAAAAACAACATATCTTCTATTATTCCTAAAATTTTCTTGACAAAATGTTGAGTCATTATGTGTTTTTCTGTTACATCCTAGACAGTACAATGTAGATTATAAACTGGAGACTTACTTGAAGATTGCTAGGCTATATCTGGAGGATGATGATCCAGTCCAGGCAGAGGCTTACATAAATCGAGCATCGTTGCTTCAGAATGAATCAACCAATGAACAATTACAGATACATTATAAGGTAACAGATGAGTTGATTTGGAATTACTTTTGTATTGGAGAATTGTAACATACTAAGATGTTCCAGGACATCTGATAGATGCTCTTAAATATTAGAAATTGTTTCTCTGTTTTGTTTTGTTTTGTTTAACTCTTGCTTTTTAATTTGTCCCCTAATTGAAATATTTTCCCTCTGTTAGGTATGCTATGCACGTGTTCTTGATTATAGAAGAAAATTCATTGAAGCTGCACAAAGGTACAATGAGCTCTCTTACAAGACAATAGTCCACGAAAGTGAAAGACTAGAGGCCTTAAAACATGCTTTGCACTGTACGATCTTAGCATCAGCAGGTAAACACGTAATAATTTATACTTAAATGAACAGTTATCTTTGCTTAATAACTTTAGGTTGGTTACTGTTGGAAAATTTAGCAAGGAACTATTCTTCAAAAGGATGTCTTCATAATACAGTTATGGTAAATGTAGTTTAAGTGTTTAAAAACAGAAATAAAATGATTTGTTAAATAATTTAATATGCTCATATCAGCCTATTATGCATATGTGGTAAGAATAGTTAAAAGAGGGCTGGGCGCGGTGGCTCACACTTGTAATCCCAGCACTTTGGGAGGCCGAGGCGGGTGGATCACGAGGTCAGGAGATCGAGACCATCCTGGCTAACAAGGTGAAACCCCATCTCTACTAAAAATACAAAAAATTAGCCGGGCGTGGTGGCAGGCGCCTGTAGTCCCAGCTGTGGGGGAGGCTGAGGCAGGAGAATGGCGTGAATCCAGGAGGTGGAGCTTGTAGTGAGCCGAGATCAGGCCACTGCACTCCAGCCAGGGCGACAGAGAGACTCTGTCTCAAAAAAAAAAAAAAAAAAAAGAATAGTTAAAAGAGATAATATAAAGTTCTAAAATTTCACTAAAGAAGTGGATATCAACTTGAGAATTACGCAGAGTGAAACAAAAATTAAAATCTATAGATTGATGAAATGATAATTAATGCACTGCTTTTGGGTTTTTTTTTTTAACCTTCAAGCCTTAGTTTTAGACCTGGCATTTATCCTTTTCTTCAATACGTGTAACAAATATTGTTTGTTCTTTTTACTGAATTTTAGCATGTAAATCACTTATGAAGTAGAATGGGTATTAAGAGGAAATGCTAATTCTAAACCATAGCTTTTCTTAAATTGCTCTATCACCCAGGCTGGAGTGCAGTGGCGCAGTCACTGCTTACTACAGCCTCAATCTCCTGGGCTCAAGTGATCCTCCCACTTCAACCTCCCAAGTAGCTGGGACTACAGGTGCACACCACCATGCCTGGCTAATTTTTTTGTATTTTTCTAGAGATGGGGTTTCTCCATATTGCCCAGTCTGGTCTTGAGCTCCTGGGCTCAAGTGATCCATCTGCCTTGGCCTCCCAAAGTGCTGAGATTACAGGTGTGAGCCACCACGTCCATTCCATTTTATTCTTTATAGACTAGTTATCTTATTTATTTTATTTTTTGTTACTGAAAACGCAGTACATGAACATGGTACTGCTTCTTTTTCTAAAGAACTTTTACTGGTTTCTTACCTATCTTTCAATACAAATGGTAGCATATACACACTTTTGCAACTTACCTTTTTATTGTAACTGTATACATCATAGTGATCTTTACATGTCAGTACATATAACTCATTCTTTTTGGTTTTCTATTGTCTGGCTTTATCATAATTCATTTAGTCAGTCACAACACTATAGTGATTATGCACATGTATGAGTATATGTATAGGTTAACTTTCTGGATCCAAAGGTACATACTTTTGAATTTTTGATAGACGTTCCACATTGCCCTATACTATTACACTCCAAACAAAAACATTCATGAGCACCTGATTTCTTACACAGGTATTATCACATTCTTTTATCTTTTCTGATCTGGTAGATGAAAAACAGTATCTCACTTTAGTTTTAATTTGTATTGATGAATGCTCTTGAGCATTTTTCGTATGTTTAAAAAAATTGTTGAAAATCTGTATTTCTTTATTGAGTGAATTATACATTTATGTTGACTGGCCATTTTTTGAGTTGTTTGTCCTTTCTTGGTGGCTTGTGGAAGCTCTTTAGATATGAAGGAAAATTAAAATTTTTCCTAACTTGTCATCTTTTTGGTTTTGTTTATGACATTTTTGCCATGCAGAACCTTTTAGTGTTTACTTAATTACATTTATTAATCTTTCTTTAATGGCTTCAAGGTTTTGTTGACTTGCTTAGACAAGTCTTCCCTACTCTGAAATTATATGTAGTTGTAAATCCCCCCATGTTTTCTTTCAGTACTTTAGGTTCTCAAATTTCTTGGTGTCAGGACCCCTTTACACTCTGAAAAAGTATTGAGAACCGGAAAGCTCCTGTTTATGTAGATTCTATCTACTGATTATTAGAAATTAAATGAGTAATTTAAGACAATTTATTAATTTATTTTAAAGTAGCAATAATAGACCCATTACATATAAACATAAATGACATACTTTTATGAAAAACAATTATATTTTTCCAAAGCAAAAAATGTTACTGGGAATGGAATTGTTTTATGTTTAAAATTTTTTTTCAATATCTAGCTTAATAGGAAACAGCTCAATTCTTCTTTTTGTTTTTTTTTTTGTTTGTTTGTTTTTGAAACGGAGTCTCACTCTGTTGCCCAGGCTGGAGTGCAGTGGCGCGATCTCGGCTCACTGCAAGCTCAGCCTCCCAGGTTCATGCCATTCTCCCGCCTCAGCCTCCCGAGTGAGTAGCTGGGACTGCAGGCGCCTGCCACCACACCTGGCTAATTTTTTGTATTTTTTAGTAGAGACGGGGTTTCACCATGTTAGCCAGGATGGTCTCGATCTCCTGACCTTGTGATCCGCCCTCCTCCGCCTTCCAAAGTGCTGGGATTACAGGTGTGAGCCACCGCACCCGGCCGAAACAGCTCCATTCTTATAGGTACTTCCGCATTCCCTCCGTTTTAATAGGTTGTTTTAGTTAAAGTATATGAAGAAAATTCAGCCTCACACAGATGTGTAGCTGGAAAAGACAAGCACATTTTAATCGCATTTTCAGGTAATTGTGGATATTCTTTGATAGTATACTTGACAGATGGTATAGTTCTTTTTTTTTTTTTTTGAGATGGAGTCTCGCTCTTTCGCCCAGGCTGGAGTGCAGTGGCACTATCTCGGCTCACTGCAAGCTCCGCCTCCTGGGTTCACGCCATTCTCCTGCCTCAGCCTCCGGAGTAGCTGGGACTACAGGTGCCCGCCACCACGCGCAGCTAATTTTTTTTTTTTTTTTGAGACGGAATCTTCCTCTGTCGCCCAGGCTGGAGTGCAGTGGCACGATCTCGGCTCACTGCAAGCTCCGCCTCCCAGGTTCAGCCATTCTCCTGACGCCAGGCTAATTTTTTGTATTTTTTAGTAGAGACGGGGTTTCACCGCGTTAGCCAGGATGGTGTCGATCTCCTGACCTCGTGATCTACCCACCTCGGCCTCCCAAAGTGCTGGGATTAAAGGCATGAGCCACCGTGCCCGGCCGACAGATGGTATAGTTTCTTACAGATTAGTTGCAATGTGGAATCTGAAACCATATCAATAAGTTTTTTGCATTCCATGACACGAAAAATTCTGTTTTCTACTTTCTTTAACATAATAAGTTAGCAGCCATTAAGAATCCTTGCTTGAGGCCAGGCACGGTGGCTCACGCCTGTAATCCCAGCACTTTTGGGAGGCCGAGGTGGGCGGAGCACTGAGGTCGGGAGTTTGAGACCAGCCTGACTAACATGGAGAAACCTCGTTTCTACTGAAAATACAAAATTAGCCGGGCGTCGTGGCATGTGCCTGTAATCCTAGCTACTTGGGAGGCTGAGGCAGGAGAATCATTTGAACCCGGGAGGCAGAGATTGCAGCGAGCTGAGATCGCGCCATTGCACTCCAGCCTGGGTAACAGGAGTGAAACTCTGTCTCAAAAAAAAAATAATAATAATAATAATAATCCTTGCTTGGGTCATTCATTACATTCTATGTTACAAAATGGTGATTTGCTCATTCTATTCTTCTGCATGAACTTTTTTTTTCCTTTTTTGTACTTTTATTTTGAACTTTTTACTTTACTTTTTTTTCTGCATATTTTCTGTTGGTATGATATGTACACAGGAAAAGTACACATGAAAAGTATACAGCTTGATGAATTTTCACAAACTGAACACCTCCATGTAACCAGCATCCAGAACAAGAAACAAAATATTGCCAACACCCCTCCTTCTTTGTGCTTTCTTCCAGTCACTAGCCCCAACTCCTAACCCTACAAGAATAATGACTAGTATATATTAGCCTTCTTATTTTTTTATAAATGAAATCATATAGTGTATTCATTCTTGTCTTCTTTTGCTCAAATTTATGAAATTTATCATTATGGCTATGTGTATTTGTACTTTCTTCATTTTCCTTGTTATTTAGTATTCCATTGTATGAATATACCACAATTCATTTATCTTAATTTCTTATTGGCTGCTAGGAATAGAACTGCTATGAACATTCTTGTATATTTGACACAGCTTTTTATTTATTCAGGGTATGACAATCAGTTACAATTGTTACTCTTTTTGATGTTTAAATTGTTCCAATCATGACTAGATTATGTCTTTTTTTTTTTTTTAGATGGAGATGAGGTCTTGCTATGTTGGCCAGAGTAGTCTGGCTTCAAGCAGTCCCTCCATCTTGGTCTCTCAAAGAGCTAGGATTATAGGCGTGAGCCACTGTGCCTGGCCAGTTACGTCTTTTTGACATGGCCCCATTAATCTTTGAATACTTCCCTGCGAATTAGCAGAAAAAGGAACTTGGATTTATCTTGTGTTTTGCCTGCCTCAGACTTGAAATCAGCTATTTTTCAAGGATCCCTAGTTCTTTTTAATGGACTACCAAGATATGGACAGTAGATATGCTCATTGCTTCTGGGTGTCATTGTGTTTAGGCCCTTTTGGTATAAAGAGCTAGAAATACATTTAGAAAGAAAACCGTTGTTGATAGGATCATTTTCATGAGTTTGATTTTTTTAATGTTATCGGTTGTCACTAAAGTTCCTTAAAAATATAAATTGAAACTGTGAATATTAAGTCTCCTATCAGATAAATATTTTTTCATCTTTTATAAATTTTTATTAACGAAATAATTAATGTTTATTGTAGAAGTACAAATAAGAAAAGGAAAATAGAAATCACCTGTTCTTCCAACCGCTTGTAACATTTTGGCCCGAAATTCTTCATGTATGACTGTATGGTTGCTCTTCTTTATCTGTGGATTCCATGTTTCTGAATTATCCTCCTTGGTAAAATGTATTCATATCCTCAAAGTCAATACTTGCAGCACTTCCACTGTCATTTGCAGATATGTGCAGGGTGGAAAAACATTTGAATGTCCTGACACATGTTTCCACCCGAGGTTGAACATGTAGATTCCCTGCTTGTTTTTTTACTTTTATACTGTACACAAATGTCCTTTTCATGGTCTGTTTAAGATCATGTTTTTCACACTTCCGTTCTGTTACCAGTGATTTTGCTGTTTAAAATGGCACCCAGCCATAGTGCTGAAGCGCTGTCTGGGGGGTGTTCTTAAGTGCCCTATGGAGAAAATATGTGTGTTAGATAGCTTCATTTAAGTATGATTTATAGTGTTGGCTGTGAGTTCAATGTTAATGAATCAACAATATGTATTAAATAGGATGTCTCTAAACAGAAACACACATAAAACAAGGTTACAGATTAATTCATTGACAAAAATGTTGTGACCAGATGCTCACAGGAACCTAGCTTTGTATTCCCATAGGAGCAGCAGTTTAGTGTTTGATAATTCAGCGTCGGCAGTGACTGCAGACCATAATTACCATGAATAATGAATACTGGCTGTATATTTAGTAGACAAAAATGAGGTCATAAGATAGGTTTTTTTTTCCTGAAGAAACATTGTGAAAATAACATTGTGAAATTTGATGCTCATTTATTTCTCTTAGGGCAGCAGCGTTCTCGGATGCTAGCTACTCTTTTTAAGGATGAAAGGTGCCAGCAACTTGCTGCCTATGGGATCCTAGAGAAAATGTATCTAGATAGGATCATCAGAGGAAATCAACTTCAAGAATTTGCTGCCATGCTGATGCCTCACCAAAAAGCAACTACAGCTGATGGTAATGATCCTGTCTTATGTGTATATGGTAGTCAATGTTTAGGTACAGACTAGTGAAAATCATGTTAAATTAGAAGTATCTTTTAATAATAATTCTACATAACACTTCCTCATAAAAAAAGAGGAATTGTTTTTATTTAAAATTTTTTTTTTAATTTATAAAATTTTTTTTGAGACAGAGTCTTGCTCTGTCACCCAGGCTGGAGTGCAGTGGCACAATGGCGTGATCTCGGCTCACTGCAAACTCTACCTCCTGGCTTCATACCATTCTCCTGCCTCAGCCTCCCGAGTAGCTGGGACTACAGGCGCCCGCCACCACGCCTGGCTAATTTTTTGTACTTTTAGTAGAGATGGGGTTTCACCGTGTTAGCCAGGATGGTTTCGATCTCCTGACCTCGTGATCCGCCTGCCTCGGCCTCCCAAAGTGCTAGGATTACAGGCATGAGCCACCACACCTGGCCTATTTTTTATTTTATTTTTTGAGACAGAGTTTTACTCTTGTCGCCCAGGCTGGAGTGCAATGGTGCGATCTCGGTTCACCACAACCTCTGCCTCCCGGGTTCAAGTGATTCTCCTACTTCAGCCTCCCAAGTAGCTGGGATTACATGCATGCGCCACCACGCCCGGCTAATTTTGTAATTTTAGTAGAGACGGATGTTGCTCAGGCTGATCTCGGACTCCTGACCTCAGGTGATTCGCCCCCCTCAGCCTCTCAAAGTGATGAGATTACAGGCGTGAGCCACAGTGCCTGGCAATACAATCCTTTTAACTGGGTATACTGCTGTACTACTTAAAAAATATATATTATGGCTGGGCATGGTGGCTCATGCCTGTAATCCCAGCACTTTGGGAGGCTAAGGCGGGAGGATCTCTTCAGCCTGGGAGTTTCAGACCAACCTGTGCAACATAGTGAGGCCTCATCTCTACAAAATATAAAGAAAAACAGCTAAGCATGGTGGTACATACCTGTGGTTCTAGCTACTCGGGAGGCTGAGGTAGGAGGATTGCTTGAGCCCAGGGGGTCAAGGCTACAGTGAGCCGTGATTGCCCCACTGCACTGCGGTTTCAGTGACAGTGTAAGACCTTGTTAAAAAAAAATTGTGATAAATATATAAAACATAAAAATTACCATTTTAACCATTTTTGGGTGTGCAGTTCTGTGGCATTACTTTCACATTGTTGTGCAGCCATCACCAACATCCATCTCCAGAACTTTTACATTTTCCCAAACTGAAACTCTGTACCTATTAAACAATAACTCCTTATTCTTGCCTCCCCTCTGCCTGCTGTACTACTTTTTGACATGGGATAGATTGGGAGAGGAACAGACTGAGGAGAGAAGTTTTTCTTTTTTCTTTTTTTTTTGTTAGTTACAGTCGTGCTCTGTTGTCCAGGTTAGAGTGCACTGGTGCAATCATGGCCCACTGCAGCCTGGAACAAAGTAACTGGGACTGCAGGTGCACACCACCATGCCTGGTTAATATTTTAATTTTTTGTAGAGTTGGGGTCTCACTGTGTTGCCCAGGCTAGTCTTGAACTCCTGGCCTCAAAGAATCTTCCCACCTCAGCCTTCCAGAGCACTGGGATTACAGACATGAGCCACTGTGCCTGGTTAAGCAGTCCCTTTTTTTTTTTTTTTTTTTTTTTTTTTTTTTACTTTTTGAGACAAGGTCTCACTCTTTTGCCCAGGCTGGCGCTGGCATGATGCCATAGCTCACTGCAGCCTCCACCTCTTGGGGATCCTTCTACCTCCACCTCCCCAGAAGCTTAGGCATGTGCCACCACACCCTGCTAATTTTTAAATTTTTTTGTAGAGACAGGATCTCTCCATTTTGCCCAGGCTGGTCTTGAACTCCTGGGCTCAAGCAGTTCCTCCCATCTTGGCTTCCCAAAGTGCTGGGATGATAGGGGTAAGCCACTGCACCTGCCTGCTTTTTTGAACATATTAAATTTGAGATATTTATAAAATTACTGGATTGGATATTTAATTTAGGTAGTTGGCTGTGTAAGTCTGAATTCAAAAGGGAGATTTAGATTAGAGATATGTGATCATTATCAGCATTTTGATGGTATTGAGACAATGTAGGATAAAAAGAGATGAAGGTGCAAAATTAAACCCTCTAATATTTCAGAGAAGGAAAAGAAGGAGGAAGCAGCAAGGTAGACTGGGAGATAGGAGTTAAGTGAAAAACTAGCAGATCGTGGGTGGAATTCTGGAAAAGGAGAAGTGAGGCATTGTAAGAAAAAGAGGTTCTCAGAATACTTCCCTTGAAGTCTCCAAGTATATTTTGTCCCCTGCACTCATTATAGTAGTTAAATGTTCAGCAGAAATATGTAAGCATTGGGTGAGCCCAGTGGTCTAATACATTCAAAGTAGGACCCTGGGTCCAGAACATTATGAGATACTGTATGACCTCACTTAAAAGAGGATTCTATGCCTGATCTTTCAGGAGGGTTAGCCGGATCCTGGATCTGGATCTGGATATTTCTCACATTTGCCTTGGTTTGATGCTCCTGGAGTTCCCAAAAGAATAGAGATCACTTTATCAAGCTTGCAGAACAGGTTGCATGATTGTTGTGCTGCTGCTTGCTAGTAAAAGTTTATGCTTGTAGAAAGAAAAGTTAATGGGCTGGTGCCGCGGCTCATGCCTGTAATCGCAGCACATTGGGAGGCCCAGGTGGGCGCATCACTTGAGGGTAGGTGAGAACTGCCTGGCCAACATGACGAAACCCTGTCCCTACTAAAAATACAAAAAATTAGCTCGGTGTAGTGGTGCACACCTGTAGTCCCAGCTGCTCAGGATACTTAGGCATGAGAATCACTTGAACCTGGGAGGCGGAGGTTGCAGTGAGCAGAGATTGTGCCACTGCATTCCAGTCTGGGCAACAGAATGAAACTCTGTCTCAAAAAAAAAAGTTAATTTGATAGCCTGAAGAAGCAAGATTCTAAACCCAAAGGGGTTAGATCTATATGCTTAATAATTACTTGCCAATCACTCATTTGCTAAATGTTATTTTTATTTAATTGTACATTAATGAAACTACATCATATATTGGCTACTTTTAAAATTTTGATCAGAGGAGTTAAAGAGGATGAGTTATTACGTGCCTAGACATTTTCAGAAAAAATGATGCATCTTTTTAGAGTATAAAACTAGTTTCAAACTTGTAACTGTCTTATTTATGTTTAAGGTTCCAGCATCTTGGACAGAGCTGTTATTGAACACAATTTGTTGTCTGCAAGCAAATTATATAATAATATTACCTTCGAAGAACTTGGAGCTCTTTTAGAGATCCCTGCAGCTAAGGTATCTTCTTGATTCCAATACATTTAAAAAAAAGTTAAGAGATGAAACTATTAAAATAATGAGAAAATAAAATAAATGTTGGAAACAACATTTATTATCTTCCAACAAAATAAATGTTGGAAACAACAACAGAATTACACCTAAAAAGCCACAAGTAAATACATTCTTTAGAAGTTAAAATAGGCCTAGTGTTTATTAGTGGAATTGTCTTAGTGTTTTTTGGTGTTTTAAATTGTGTTTTGTGATAAAGTGACCTAGAATAGAAGTCTTTCAGGAGTTTCAGGTTATGACACCCATTTTCTGAGAATGTCTTTGTTTGGTGTCTGTTTAAATCCAACAAAGTACCAATGACATTCAGAGAGTATTGCAGGTATCATTTACAAAATATTCTCTTAACTTTAAATAAAATTAAGCAACCTTACTTTTAGCTAATTTATAAACCTTAAAAGTCGTGCAGTTATGGGTCGCATCCCTTTTTCTCTGGCAGTGAAATTTTTTGTCTGTTTATTTATTTTATTTTTTTTTGTTTTTAGAGACAGGGTCTTGTTCTGTCACCCAGGCTGGAGTGCAGTAGCGTGATCATAGCTTACTGCTGCTTCAGACTCGTGGGTTCAAGCAATCTTCCTGTCTCAGACTCCCAAGTAGCTGGTACTACAAGTACACATCACCACGCCTGGCTAATTTTTTTGTTTGTTTGTTTTCCCCCGAGACGGACTGTAGCTCTGTTGCCCAGGCTGGAGTGCAGTGCTGCAATCTCGGTTCACTGCAACCTCTACCTCCCAGGTTCAGGCGATTCTCCTACCTCAGCCTACTGAGTAGCTGAGATTACAGCACCACGCCCAGCTAATTTTTGTATTTTTAGTAGAGGAACTGTGTTGGCCAGGCTGGTCTCAAATTCCTGACCTTATGATCCACCTGCCTCAGACTCCCAAAGTGCTGGGATTACAAGTGTGAGTCACCACGCCCAGCCCTTTTTTTTTTTTTTTTTTTTAAAGAAACAGGGTCTTGCTATGTTGCCCAGGCTAGTCTTGAACTCCTGGTCCCAAGTGATCCTCCTGCTTCGGCCTCCCAAAGTGCTGGGACTACAGGCATGAGTCATTGTGCCTGGCATGGCAATGAAATTTTAATTAGAATTTTCTAACAATTCCTTTACTTGTACACATTCAATACACAGTAAAGGAAGAACAATTTGGGAGTCAAGGTTTAAGTTACCATTAAAAGAGACTTTCTTCTTGAGGCTTTAAGGTATGATCTCTTGCTGAGACTATTGGAGGTGAATATATTTTTAACAATAAATGCTAGTCACAATCTGTTCAGGACTGATAGGATTGATTGTGAAGATGGTCAAAATTAATAAATGACCAGGTCACAATCCAGTTTGCTTATGCACAGTAAACATTAAGTATGTCTTCAGGAGTTAGGTAGTAGACCTTTTGCTTTCTTTTAATTGTCTTTTAAACCCTTTCAATTTCTTTTTGAATTTCACCATCTACCTTTCAATTTTTAAAGAGTTTCTGGGGTAGCAAATACTGTGGAAATTGAAATAAAATAAGAAAAACTAGTTTGTTTGGGTTTTTTTGAGGTATGGATCCTAGTAAGAAGAAAAATTGATAGTTTGCTTTTGAGCAGAGGAGAAAATGATAGTTATATTCTTGTCCAAAATCTCACAAGAAAAACAGATCCCAGTTAACTTAAAATAATGGCTTATGTACAGCAAGAATTGGGAAATAGCCAGATTTACAAGATTTACTCTTCTAGTGGCAGATTAATGTATATGTAAAGTTTAGTGATGGTAGTTAAACCAGAAGCTTTCTGTTCTCTTTTCATATGTGAATAACTAAAAGATATGATAAAGTTTCTGAGAGTTTTTTTTTCCCCCAATAGGCGGAAAAGATAGCATCTCAAATGATAACCGAAGGACGTATGAATGGATTTATTGACCAGATTGATGGAATAGTTCATTTTGAAAGTAAGAGGTTTTGTGTATTTCTGTCATAATGAAATAGCAGTGAACTGTTATATTTGTGATTAAAACATGTTGGACAGTTTCCTTTGACTCAGAATCTTACTACTGGAATGAGCTTATTTCCCAAAGAAATAATTTAAAATAATTTTTAAGAAGTTATATTCATGAGGCTGGGCATGGCGGCTCATGCCTGTAATCCCAGCACTTTGGGAGGCCAAGAAAGGTGGATCACTTGAGGTCAGGAGTTTGAGATCAGCCTGGCCAACACGGTGAAACCCTGCCTCTACTAAAAATATAAAAATTAGCCAGGTGTGGTGACAGGCACCTGTAGTCCCAGCTACTCAGGAGGCTGAGGCAGGAGAATCACTTAAACCTAGGAGGCAGAAGTTGCAGTGAGCCGAAATTGCAGCACTGCACTCCAACCTGGGTGACAAAGCGAGACTCTGTCTCAAAAAAAAAAAAAAAAATTATATTCATGAATCTACTTACTGCAGGATTTTCTATGTTAAGGAAAAATTTGAAACTCAAATTGTTGTATCAGTTCATTCATTTATGCATCAAATATTTATTGACCACATACCATGTATCAGGCATATGGAAATGACAGTTGCATTTCCTATTCAGCAACTCATTAAACTAATGGAGGCAGACAGGTAAGTGGATCCCTTGACTTTTTCATTGTCTAATACCTTCCCAGCTCCTTATTCCCACCTCATTTACACCCTGGACCTTGCTGTACCCAGAACTTTTCCACTTGCAAAATTTTTATTTGAAATATCTCACTCTGGCCATAACCTTTTTCTTGTTTCTCTAGTGGTCTGTGGTCTGTCTCCGTTACTCTCAGTTCAATTCTTCCTTGACCTTATTGGAGTTTCTGGTCCATTGACTCTTCTGTTTTCTTCCAGTTAGCATAATCTTTTTTGTGCTGGAGAAGAGTCGGGCATCAGACAGGCTGATACCTCTCTAAATTCGAGGTCACAGGTCCTCAGCACTACATAGGATTCATGGTACATTTCTGTAGTCCACTCTTTTTCCTCCTTTGCAATGACTATTTCAGGTTTGGTTTTTCTTAAATCTCTGACTTTTCTCCCCATTTATTCTCAGTAGAAAACCTTGTTTCCTATTTCAAAGGGGAAAAAAGCCATCAGTATGAAATATTTTAATTTCCTTTTTTAGTTATTTTTTTCTCTCATTCAATTTGAAATTTTAACTTCTTTATCAGATGTAGAAACACTTTAATTTTAGATATAGATGTGAATCTTTTTCTTCCTTCGTGTTTTACTGCAGATGGTTTTCGTCACCCTGTCTGGTTGTTCCACTTGGGCTTTGGACCTTTTCTCTGATCCTTTCCCTTTCCCCTCCCACCAAAAAACACTGGTTTAGGAACCTGAGGTTAGCAGTTATTTTTGTCTGATTTTATCCTTTTTTTCCTACTGGCTTCTTTCCATCAATATTTACACATCCTCAGGACTCCTCCATTTTAATGAAAATCCTTTTATCTTCCAAATCTCATCTTGACTTTTCAACATATCAAATAGTGTTGATCTCTCACTACTTTTTGAACCTTCACCCCACCACCACAGCTTGACTTTTGTCATCTCTTCCATCCGATTCTACTTTTCCTCTTATATCTCCAGCTATCCTTCATAGTCATCTTTGTAGAATCTGTAGTACCTTTAAGTTTAAATACTAGTTACTTAGGGCTTAATCCTAGACCTTTCCCCACTTATGCTACTGAGTTTCCATGGGTAATCTCATCTATTTCCTTTGATTCAGTTACTGTCTCTGCATAGACAATGCCTACATTTACCTTTCTAGAGTGATTCTAAGTCCCAGCCCCATGGTTCTAGTTTACTACTAAGGTGTTTCTACCTGATTGCTTCATGGGCATCTTAGCATGAACATATCAAAAACTGAATTTATTATCTTCCCTTCTTGTGTGTCCCCCACGACTAACCAGCCAGCCATCCCAAAACTGTATTGTTAGCTTTCTCCAATACTCCTTATCCTTGGGCTCAAACCATCCTCCCACCTCAACCTCCAAAATCCCTGAAGTGCTGGGACTATAGGTGTGAGCCACTGTATTGGGTCCTTTTCTTCATTTCTTACTATCACCAACCTATTCTGAACCCTACTATTATAACCTCTTCAGGTGTTGAGAAATAACCTCTTTCTTTCCTTCTCATATCTACAATTGCTCCTTTCTAGTTCAGTTCCCTAGTACAGCTGGAGTGATTATTTTCTTTTAAAAAATGCAAGCATAAAAAAGAAATAAACAAATAGTTAAATCATGTTATTCTTTTGTTTACACTGTAATGAATGTCTTCCCCATTGCTTGTAGAACAAAGTTCTACAAAGTCTCCCAAAAGCTGGTCCTGGTCCTTTCTAGCTTTCTCTTGCATAAGTCTTCTTTTTATTTTTTTCAGCATTGCAAATTCTTCCCCCTATCAAACATTCTGAAATATTTACCCCTTTCCAGCCATCTTCTCTTTGTCCCATGTCTCAATTTGAATATCCTTAATCAGTAATGATTTTCCTGACTTTCCAGATTAGATATGGCTTTAAATTATATATTCTCATGTCAGCCTGAATTTCTTCCTAGAATTTATTTTAGTTATTTTCAGTTGTGTAACTATTTGTCTAAATGTCTGTTTCTGTTTCCAAGTTAAGCTTCCTGGTGATAGGTATTAAGTCTGTCTTATTTTCCATGGTACATCCAACATCTGTTCCAGTGTCTGGCACATTGTAAATGAGAAATAAGTGTTGAATAAACAAACACAGCATATGATGAGTAATATAGCATTTCCCCTTCTGTGCATTAATGTTGCTTGTCTATTTCCTCCCTTCCCTCACAACTCTCCTTCTGGCCTTCCAGTATCAATTTGCTGTAGCTTTTGTTATAATGATTTTTTTTTCTTAAGAGACAACTCGCTGTGTTGCCCAGGCTGAGGTGCAGTGGTATGATCATAGCTCACTGTTGCCTCAAACTCCTGAGCTCAAGCTGTCCTCCTGCTTCAGCCTCCCTAGTAGCTAGGAAGGACTACAGGTGTACACACCGCACCTGGCTAGTTGTTTTTCTTCTTGAGATGGGGTCTTGTGGTGTTGCCTAGGCTGGTCTTGAGCTCCTGGCCTCAAGTGATCCTCCTGCCTCAGCCTTCCAAACTGCTAGGATTATAGGTATGAGCTATTGTGCCTGGCTTTTTTTTTTTTGAGATGGGAGTCTTGCTCTGTTGCCAGACTGGAGTGCAGTGGCGCAATCTCGGCTCACTGCAACCTCCACCTCTTGGGTTCAAGGGATTCCCCTGCCTCAGCCTCCTGAATAGCTGGGACTACAGGCACACGCCACCATACCCAGCTAATTTTTTGTATTTTAATAGAGACGGGGTTTCACCATGTTGGCCAGGATGGTCTTGATCTCATGACCTCGTGATCCGCCCGCCTCGGCCTCCCAAAGTGCTGGGATTACAGACGTGAGCTACCGCTCCTGGCTGCCTGGCTGATAATTTTAACTTTATCTGTAATATGTGTCACAAATATTTTTTTCCATTCTGTCAGGTTTTCTTTTTCTTTTTCTTTTTGAGATGGAGTTTCTTTCGCTCTTGTTGCCCAGGCTGGAGTGCGATGGCTCAATCTCGGTTGACCACAACCTCCACCTCCTGGGTCCAAGCGATTCTCCTGCCTCAGCCTCCCAAGTAGCTGGGACTACAGGCACGCACCACCACGCTCATGCACCACCATGCCCGGCTAATTTTGTATTTTTAGTAGAGACAGGGTTTCTCTATATTGGTCAGCCTGGTCTTGAACTCCCAACCTCAGGTGATCAGCCTGCCTCAGCCTCCCAAAGTGCTGGGATTACAGGCATGAGCCACTGCACTGCACCCGGCCGAATTCTGTCAGGTTTTCTTCTGGAAGACAATACATAACATAAACACATTTTTAAATTTTTTTGCACTCAAATAGGTCAATGTTTTATTTTATGGCTTTTGAATTTCCTGTATTGATTAGGAAAGACTCTTCTACCTTGGAATAAAACTAGTGTTTTCCTAAATTTTTCTAATATTATTTTACATTTAGGAATTTAATCCATCTACAGTTCATTTTTGTGGATAATTTTAGGTTATGGTCTAGTTGTTTTTTTCTAGGTGAATAGCCAATTATCCAAGTATCATTTATTAAATAAAACATCCTTTCTGATTAAATTGTGATCTTTGACATATCTGATTAGGTTCCACATATATGTTTGCATCTATTTCTGTACTCTGGTTCCACTGATCTGCAATAATATGGTAATAAACAAATTTATAATAAATTTTAGTATTGGTAAAGCAACTCCTGCTTCCCACTCCTTTTTTTTTGTTAAATTGAAATTCACATGGGCTGGGCACAGTGGCTTATGATTGTGACCCCAATGCTTTGGGAGGTTGAGGTGGAAGAATTGCTTGAGCTCAAGAGTTCAAGTCTAGCCTAGGCAACATAACGAGACCCCATTTCTACAGGATAAAAGAAAAAAAGAAGGAAATTCACCTAACAGAACAGTAGCCATTTTAAAGTAAACAATTCAATGGCCTGTAGTATATTTACAATGTTGTACAACCTCTATCTCTGTCTAGTTTCACGACATTTTCATCTTTCCAAAGGAAGCCCTTGCCCTTTAAGCAGTTACTCTCCATTCCTTCCTTCCCCCAGCTTCTGGCAACCACCAATCCATCTTCTGTCTCTGGATTTACCTAGTCTGGATAGTTCATATAAATGGAATCATACAATATGTGACATGTGACCTTTTGGCTGATTCCACTCAGCATAGTATCTTTAGGGTTCATCCATGTCATGGCAGGTAATCAGTGCTTCATTCATTTTTATAGCCGAATAGCATTTCATTGGATGTATATACCTCAATTCCACCACTGGTTTTCATTTTCAGAATTATCTTGGCCATTCTCAAACACCAATTTTTTTATGTTAACTTTAATAATTTTGGCCTGGTTAGAAAGCAAAATAGAAAAAAAAAGGGGGATTGTCTTTGGGATTTCTTTAAATTTATTTATTAAAGGAGAAGGATTGATATTTTTATGTTATTGTATATTTCCACCTGGGAATGTGATTTGTGTCTACTCAAGTTATCTTTTGCCCTTTATTAAGATTTTATAGGTTGCGGCTGGGCGTAGTGGCTCACGCCTGTAATCCCAGCACTTTGGGAGGCTGAGGCGGGCGGATCACGAGGTCAAGAGATTGAGACCATCCTGGCCAACCAACATGGTGAAACCCCGTCTCTACTAAAAATACAAAAATTAGCTGGGCGTAGTGGTGCATGCCTGTAGTCCCAGCTACTTGGGAGGCTGAAGCAGGAGAATCCCTTGAACCTGGGAGGTGGAGGTTGCAGTGAGCTGATATCGCGCCACTGCACTCCAGCCCAGATGACAGAGTGAGACTCCGTCTCAAAAAAAAAAAAAGATTTTATAGGTTGCTTTTTCACTAAATATGTGCCCTTTTTTGTAAATTTTGGTACTGTTTTGAATGGGACATTCCTCTCAATTTTTTATTTCTAACTATATAGTGTTGGTAAGAGAAAACCCTGGTGGATTCAAGATGACTTTTTTTGAGGGATTTAAATGGTATGATATTTATCCTTCAGTCAAGTACAGATTTGAATGTGTAAACAGACTTGCTTTCCCCAGTAGGTGGCAGTGTCTTAGGAATCTGCAAGCCTTGGTGATGAAAAGACAGCCTCAGTCTTTTTTTGTTGTGGTTGAGGTTGTTGGGTTAGTCGGTTTTATTTCGTTTTCACTAGTAGTAGTAATAACATGCATCTGTATGTATTTGTTTTATACCTTGTGCCAGTAATTTGGGTACTTTTGAAATGCTAGAAATTTAAAAAAAGAAAAAACACTTTTCTTAACTGCTGTTTAAATAGCTTAGTTTTATTAGCCAAGATTTTTTAGAGGTTTTTTTTTTTTTTTTTGGAGATGGAGTTTCACTCTTGTCGCCCAGGCTGGAGTGCAGTGGTACGATCTTGGCTCACTGCAACCTCTACCTCCTGGGTTCAAGTGATTCTCCTGTCTCAGCCTCCCGAGTAGCTGGTATTACAGGCGCCCGCCACCACGCCCGGCTAATTTTTGTATTTTTACTTTTCTTTTTTTTTTTTTAATTCTTTAATCTTTGTATTTTTAGTAGAGACACGGTTTTGCCATGTTGGCCGGGCTGGTCTCAAACTCCTGACCTCAGGTGATCTGCCTGCCTCGGCCTCCCAAAATGCTGGGGTTACAGGCGTGAGCCACCATGCCTGGCCTGAGTTTTAGACTTTTAAAAGCTAATAGAAGTATTGGCTGGACGCGGTGGCTCATGCCTGTAATCCCAGCACTTTGGCAGGCCAAGGCGGGTGGATCATGAGGTCAGGAGTTCAAGACCAGCCTGGCCAAGGTGGTGAAACCCCATCTCTACTAGAAATACAGAAATTAGTCACGGTGGCAGGTGCCTGTAATCTCAGCTGCTTGGGAGGCTGAGTCAGGAGAATCGCTTGAACTCAGGAGGTGGAGGTTGCAGTGAGCCGAGATCCTGCCACTGCAGTCTAGCCTGAGTGACAGAGCAAGACTCCATCTCAAAAAAGAAAAGTATTTATTGTTTTTATTTTTTTTGAATAGCTTTTTTCTGTTTTTTAGGTATTTAAAAGGAACATGCCTCTTCCAAGAATAGGCATGTAAAAAGTATATATCTTTTAACTCACAGTTGCTGTGAATACAAAGGAATAATTTTAATTTTGTACATTTTTTTTCCCCTTAGCACGAGAAGCCCTGCCAACGTGGGATAAGCAGATCCAATCACTTTGTTTCCAAGTGAATAACCTTTTGGAGAAAATTAGTCAAACAGCACCAGAATGGACAGCACAAGCCATGGAAGCCCAGATGGCTCAGTGAATCCTTGCAGAACTTCTGTGCACATGACATCTTTTTCCATGTTGTGCAGATCAGTTTCACTATCTCCAAAGCATTTGCATCATGACCTTATACATTTCAATCCCTTTTATGCTGGATTCCGTTTAAAGAAGACATTATTAGAGCAGGAAGTACAAGCATTTAAAATATGTAGTTCCCATATATTTCAGGGTCTCTGTGTATTAAGCTAACTCAGATGTTTTGAAAGCTTTTTCTTTAAACAGAGGTGAAATATCTGTGGCTAAAAAGTTTGAGATTTGTGATAACTTTGTAGTCATGTAAAACTTAAGTGCTTCATGCCTCTCCAAATGTGGTTATTCTAATAAATGGAGAAATGAGCCAAATAAAAGTAGTACTTTGTTTTTAGTTAGCGAAGAGTATTTTGTTCCCTTTTCCTTCGGTTCAGCAGACATTGATTTATGCCCTATGCTAGAAATACAAAGATGAGTCATAATGCCTGTTCTCCAGGCATCCAAAGAGTCAAAGAGCCAAGAGACAGTAAGTTTAATACTTGTATTTGCTCCAGCTACTAGAGCACACAGAGAGTAGCTCTTCAGTTAGGAGAGAGAAGTCAGGGAAGGCCTCCACAGAGGGTTATTTTAGCTGAGCTTTATAGAAAAACATGGGGAAAGGACTTGAAAAAGTATGTAGGTGACTTTTAGTATCAGCTCCAACATGTAAAGAGCTTGGAAGTCATCACATCCCTCCTCACAGCAAAAACAAACAAAAAACTGTACAGATTGGAATATCAATGGCTTTTCTTAGATCCATGGAAGAATTAAAGTCATAGGACAAACCACCACTCAAAACCCTGGAGAGACAGGCAAATACAGAGAATCACAATTGGGATCAGCTTACTGGGAGAAGAGGCTGCTGGTCAGTGACTGCTAGGAACACTAAAATGGTAATTATTTAGATATTTTCTTAAATGGTAAAAATAAATATATATAAAAAAGTAAAATGGTAACAATGACAGCTACAGTAAACCTCAAATACAGCCCAGCTCCTATCCAAATTAATATAAAGCCTCATATTAAAAGCCTAGTTACTGGCTGGGTGCGGTGGCTCATGCCTGTAATCCCAGCACTTTGAGAGGCTGAGGTGGGCGGATCACTGACACCAGGAGTTCAAAACCAGCCTGGGCAACATGGCAAAACCCCGTCTCTACTAAAAACAGAAAAATTAGCCAGGTGTGGTGGTGCACGCCTGTAATCCAGCTATTTGGGAGGCTGAGGCAGGAGAATCACTTGAACCTGGGAGGCAGAGGTTGCAGTGAGCCGAGATTGTGCCACTGCATTCCAGTCATGGACACAGAGCAAGACTGTCTCAAAAAAAAAAAAAAAAAAGCCTCATTACCTATTACTTGATGCATCATGTGTGGCTTTCAACCAAAAAATTATAAAGCATGCTAAAAGGTTAGAAAAAACACAATCTGAAGAGCTATACCAGCAACTGAACCAGACTAAGATATGGCAGGAGTGCTGGAATGATCAGACCAGGAAATTAAAACAACTATGATTAACATGCTGAGGACTCTAATGGAAAAAAATAGACAAGTTCAAGAACAGATCGGTAATATAAGCAGAGAGATGGGAACTCTAAAGATTTGAAATGCTAGAAATAAAGAAAAAAACACTCTCACAGAAATGAATGCCTTTGATGGGCTTATCATTAGTCTACTTGGCCAAGGAAAGAAACAGCCTGATAATATGTCAATAGAAACTTCCTAAACTGAAATGCAAAGAGAAAAAGGAATGAAAAAAAAAAAATTGGGACAGAATATCCAAGAACTGGAGAACAATATAAAAGGTGTCACATGTGGTCAGGCGCGGTGGCTCACGCCTGTAATCCCAGCACTTTGGGAGGCCGAGGCGGGCACATCACAAGGTCAGGAGATTGAGACCAGCCTGGTTAACACGGTGAAACACCGTCTCAACTAAAAAATACAAAAAATTAGCCAGTGGTGGTGGGTGCCTATAGTCCCAGCTACTTGGTAGGCTGAGGCAGGAGAATGGCGTGAACCCGGGAGGCAGAGCTTGCAGTGAGCTGGTATCACGCCACTGCACTCCAGCCTGGGCGACAGAGCGAGACTCTGTCGTGTCACATGTGTAATGGGGATACCAGAAGGAAAAGAAAGAGGAAGAGAAGAAATATTTGAAATAGGCCGGGCACGGTGGCTCACACCTGTAATCCCAGCACTTTGGGAGGCCGAGGTGGGCGGATCACGAGGTCAGGAGATCTGGCTAACATGGTGAAACCCCGTCTCTACTAAAAATACAAAAAATTAGCCAGGAGTGGTGGCAGGCGCCTGTAGTCCCAGCTACTCGGGAGGCTGAGGCAAGAGAATGGCATGAACCCGGGAGGCAGAGCTTGCAGTGAGCCGAGAGCACGCCACTGAACTCCAGCCTGGGCAACAGAGGGAGACTCCTTCTCAAAAAAAAAAAAAAAAAAAAAAAAATTTGAAATAATGTTTAAGAATTTTCTGAAATGAATAATAGACACTAAACCACAGATCCAGGAAGCTAAGAAAAGGCCAAGCAGAATAACTACCAAAAAATTGACACCTAGATGTATATCTAAACTGTAGAAAACCAAAAACATAAAATCTTGAAAGAAGCCAGAAGAAAAAAACACATATAGAGAAACATGAATAACATTGGATTTCTTGTCAGAAATCATGCAAGCAAGAGCCAGAATGGAAATATTTATGATGTTAAAAGAAAAACTTCACAAACATAGGATTTTATCCAGCAAAATTATCCTTCAAATGTGAAGGAGAAAAGCAAAGAGAAAATCAAATTGAAAAAAAGAAATAGTGAAGGAGAAATGAAGACTAAAACTAAGGAAATTTAAGGCTGGGCATAGTGGCTCAGACCTATAATCCCAACATTTGGGGAGGCCAAGGCAGGTGTATTGCTTGAGCCCAGGAGTTCAAGACCAGTTTGGGCAACATGGCGAAACCCCGTCTCTACAAAAAATATAAAAGTAGCCAGGCATGGTGGTGTGTGCCTGTGGTCTCAGCTACTTGGGAGGCTGAAATGGGAGGATTGTTTGAGCCAGGGAGGTGGAGGTTGCAGTGAGCTGAGATTGCACCATTGCACTCCAGTCTGGGTGATAGTGTGAGACCCTGTCTCAAAAAAAAAAAAAAGGATTCTTTTTTTGCCAGGAGACATACTTTGCAAGAAATGTTAAAGTAAGGTTTCCAGAGAGAAGGAAAATGATATGGATTAGAAACTCAGATCTACATAAAGAAAGGAAGAGTATCAGAGCAAAAAAACAGGAAGGTAAAATCTTTTTAAAAAATTTAATTGATTTAATAGATAACTTTATTTAAAGGAATTATAGCAACAATGTGTGGATAGCTATAGCCTAGGGATAACTGAAGTGAATGACTGGAGTGTAAGTGATGGGAGGAAGGAATTGGGAATACCCTGTTATGAAGTATCCGCACAACCATGACACAGTATAGTGTTATTTGAAACTTGACTTAGATTAGTTGTAAATGTATATTGCAAACTCTAAATCACTATTAAAAAACTTTTTAAAGAAATATAATTGTTATGCTAAGAGAGGAGAGAAATAGAATGATAAAATGCTTATTTAAAACCAGAGTGTCAGCCAGGCGTGGTGGCTCACGCCTGTAATCCTAGCACTTTGGGAGGCTGAGGCAGGTGGATCACCTGAGGTCAGGAATTTGAGACCAGCCTAGCCAATATGGCGAAACCCTATCTCTACTAAAAATACAAAAATTAGCCAGGCATGGTGGCGGATGCCTGTAATCCCAGCTACTTGGGAGGCTGAGGCAGGAGAATTACTTGAATCCTGGGGGTGGAGGTTGCAGTGAGCTGAGATCACACCACTTCACTCCAGCCTGGGCAGCAGAGTGAAACTCCGTCTCAAAATAAATAAATAAAATAAAATAAAATAAAATCAGAGTGTCAGCAAGAGTATCAAAAAATACATGAGGCAGAAACTGATAAAACTGCAAGGAGAAATAGATGAATCCACTATTATAGTTGGAGATCTCAACTTCAATGCCTATCAGCAAAGGACAGATCCAGTAAGTAGAAAATCAGTAAGGACATTGTTGTACTCAACAGCACCACCAATCAACTGAATATAATTGACATCCATAGACTGCTTCGTCCTGCAACAACAGAGTACTCACTCTTGTCAGCTCACTTGGAGCGTTCACTGAGGTAGACCAACCTGGGCCATAAAACACACCTCAAAATGTAAAAGAATAGAAATTATACACTGTATGTTCTCAGACAACAATGGAATTTTTTTCTTTTTGAGACAGAGTTTTGCTCTTGTCACCCAGGCTGGAGTGCAGTGGTGTGATCTTGGCTCACTGCAACCTCTGCCTCCCGGGTTCAAGCAATTCTGCCTCATAATCATAATCCTGAAAGACACAATCCTGAATGCCAAACCCCAAATGTTGATGTCCCAAAAGATCAAAATCCTTAAAGTTCAAAATTTCTAAAGTCTAAATCCCTCATGTCTAAAATCCTGAAAATTACAATCCCAAAAGATTAAAATCCTCAATGTTGAAACCCTGAAAGCCAAATTCTGGGGAAGGGGATTAGTGTATTTTTTGGTTGTACACAGGATGGTTGCATCATGTTAGTTGTGTCATGTCAAGCAGAACCATAGCCTTTTTGTCTTTATTTGGAAATTAAGTGTGATTTAAGGGGATGCAAATGAGTGCCAAATTGACAAGGGGTGGACAGTGGACATAATTTTAGGTGTCAACTTGAATGGATTAAGGAATACCTAGAAACCTGGTAAAGCATTATTTTGGATGTGGCTGTGAGAGTGTTTTCAGAGATTAGAATGTGAGTCTGAGTGGACTAAGTGGGGGATGATCTGCCCTCATTGTTGGGAGGCACCAACTACTTGACCAGGGTCCCAAACAGAACAAATATAGAAGGCAAATTGGTCTCTCTCTGAGATCTGGGACAGACTTTTCTTCTCCTGTCTTGGACCCAGAACTCCAGGTTTGCCAGCCTTCGGACTCCGGAACTTACACCAGTGGCCCCCTGGATCCTGAGGCTTTTGGCCTCAGATGGATAGTTGCACCATCAGCTTTCCTGGTTCTGAGGCCTTTGGAGTTGGACTGAACCATGCTACCGGTATCCCAAGGTCTCCAGCTTTCGGATGGCCTCACCGTGGGTCTTTTCAGCCACCATAATTGCATGAGCCAAGTTCCCTAATAAATTTCCTCTCATATCCTATTGGTTCTGTCTCTCTAGAGAACCCTGACTAATACAGATTTGGTATTGGGGAAGCTGAACATCATTTCTTCTTACTGTATTGCTTACCACACAATGGAAGAGATCTGTGAAATTGTTCCCTTGCAAAAAGGCTGTGTTAAGTGTATGAGGCTACTTAACAGTGAAACAGTTTAAAAGTTAATTGTTATTCGTGCTGCAAACGTAGAAAATCACCTAATTGCAATGGCTGAGAAATAACCAGACTTTCAGATGGACAGCAGGTACTTACGAAATTTGTAGACCACAACCACTCCCCAAATACAAGTACTGTGAGTGTTTTGAAGATCATAGAAGTGAAAACACAGGCCAAAAATACAAGAAATCTCTTATGCCAAATTATTTAATCATGTATGGCTTCTGCCCCTTTACACATAATGCCAACTCGATATGCTATGTATTTCATCTTCGCATTATTTTCAATACTGAAGGTAAATTTAGATCTCTCTTTTTTTCTTAGTCTGGCTAAAAGCTTGTCAATTTTGCTTAACTTTTCAAAAAACCAACTTTTTGTTTCATTGATTTTTGTATTGTTTACTTCATTTTAATTTCATTTATTTCTGTTCTGATCTTTATTATTTCTTCTACTAATTTTGGATTTGGTTTGCTCTTGTTTTCCTAATTCTTTAAGATGCATCATTAGATTGTTTATTTAATGTAGGCACTATAAGTTTCCCTCTTTTTTGATGTAGGCACTATAACGATAAGCTTCCCTCTTAGTACTGCTTTTGCTGTATCCCATAGATTTTGGTATGTTGTGCTCCCATTAGCATTTGTTCCAAGAAATTTTTAAATTTCTTATTAAAATGATCCATCCTTGAGAATGATCCATATGCTGAGGAAAAGCATGTGTATTCCACAGCCATTGGATGAAATGTTCCGTAATTATCTACTGGATCCATTTGGTCTATTGTGCAGATTAAGTCTGATGTTTCTTTATTGATTTTTCTGCCTGGAAGATCCATCCAGTGCTGAAAGTGGGGTGTCGAAGTCTCCAGCTATTATTGTATTGGGGCCTAACTCTCTCTTTAGCTCTTTTTTTTGTTTTGTTTTGTTTTGAGATGGAGCCTGGCTCTGTTGCCCAGGGTGGAGTGCAGTGGTATGATCTTGGCTCACTGCAACCTCCGCCTCCCAGGTTCAAGCTATTCTCCTGCCTCAGCCTCCCAAGTAGCTGGGATTACAGACATGTGCCACCATACCCGGCTAATTTTGTATTTTTAGTAGAGATAGGGTTTCTCCATCTTGGTCAAGCTGGTCTCGAACTCCCAACCTCAGGTGATCCACCTGCCTTGGCCTCCCCAAAGTGCTGGGATTATAGGCATGAGCCACTGCGCCTGGCCTTTTTTATTTTTTTAAGGAGGGGGGGGGTCTCACTACATTGTCTAGGCTAGACTCAAACTCCTGGGCTCAAGTGATCCTTCTGCCTCGACCTCCTGAAATGCTGTGATTACAGGCATGAGCCACCATGACTGGCCCTGACTGTGTATTTTCAAATAGCCTGTCTTCAGGCTCACTAATTCTTTCTTCTGCTTGATCAATTCTGCTACTGAAAGCCTCTAATGCATTGTTCAGTATGCCAATTGCATTTTTAGCTCTGGAATCTCAGTTTGATTCTTTTTATTTTAATCTTTTTGTTAAATGTATCTGATATAATTTTGAATTCCTTCTCTGTGTTATCTTGAATTTCTTGAGTTTCCTCAACACAGCTATTTTGAATTCTCTGCCTGAAAGGTCACACATCTCTGTTTCTCCAGGATTGGTCCCTGGTGGCTCATTTAGTTCATTTGGGAGGTCATGTTTTCCTGGATGGTGTTGATGTTAGTAAATGTTCTTCAGTGTCTGGGCATTGAAGAGTGAAGTATTTATTGTAGTCTTCACTGTCTAGGCTTATTTGTACCCATCCCTCTTAGAAAGGCTTTCCAGATATTTGAAAGTACTTGGATATTGTGATGTAAGCTGTATCTGATTTAGAGAGCACCCCAATCCCAGTAACACTGTTTTCTTGCAGACTCATGGAGGTACTACCTTGATGGTCTTGGAAAAGATCCAGAAGAATTCTCTGCATTATCAGGCAGAGAGACTCCTGTTCCATTCTGTTACTTTCTTCCAAGCAAAAAGAGTCTCACTCTCCTTGTTCTGAGCCACATAAAGCCGGCGGTGGAGTGACACAAGCATCCCTGTGGCCACCACCACTATGACTGCATTGGGTCAGACCTGAAGCCAGCACAGCAGTGGGGCTTGCCAAGGCTGGCTGTAACCACTTCCTGGCTACTGCCTATGTTTGCTGAAGGCCCTGGGGCTCTACAATTAGCTGGTGGCAAAGCCGGCCAGGCCTGTGTCCTTCCCTTCAGAGCCGTGAGGTCCCCCAGGCCCCAGGTGAGTCCAGAGGTGCCTTTTGGGAATCAGGGACTAGAGTAAAAAAACTTGGAAGTCTAGCTGGTGTTCTATTGTACTGTGGCTGAGCTGGTATTCAGACCACCAGATGCAGTCCTTCCCACTCTTCCTTTCCCTTCCCAAATGCAGAGGAGCCTCACCCCATAGCCACTGTCAACCCAGGCCACGAGGAGTACTGCCAGGCTACCTCCAATATTCCCTTAAGCATCGAGGTATCTTAAGTCAAGCTTGTGTTGAATGCTTCCTGCCTTGGGACTCGCCCTTCAGGGCAATGGGTTCCCCTCTGGCCTGGGGCAGGTGCAGAAATGGTGTCCAACAGTCAAGTCCTGGAATCGGAGACCTCAAGAGCCCACTTGGTGCTTTACCCCACTGTGGCTGTGCTGGTACCTAAGGTGCAAGACAAAGCCCTCTTTACTTTTCCTTCTGCTTTTCTCAAACAGAAGGAGTTTTGCCTTGTTGCCACCACAGCTAGTAATGTGCTGAGTCTCACCTGAAGCCAGCAAGTCTCAGAGGCTCAACCAAGGGCCTTGACATAGTACCTAAATGTAACTGCTGGTTATTCAGGGTCCTGCCAACCTTCAGTTAGCAGGTGATGAATGCTGCCAGGACTGAGTCCTTTTCTTCAAGGTAGTGGGTTTCCTTCTGACCCATGGTGTGTCTAGAAATGTCATCTGGGAACTAGGGCCTGGAATGGGGGCCTCACGACTCTTCCCAGTCCCCTATTCTGCCGCAGCTGAACTGGTATCCAAGATGCAAGATGAAGTCCTCCCCACTCTTCTTTCTCCTCTCCACAAGCAGAAGGAAAGGGTCTCCTTTGGAGCCACGGGCTGTGCAGCCTGGAGTTAGGGAAGGGGTGACGCCAGCACGCCCTTGGCTGCCTTAGCTGGTGTCTCAGTATGTCACCTGCCCTCCCAGTTAACTGCCTCTGGGCCTAGTTCAGCACTAGAACTCGCCTGAGATCTGCAGTCTTCATGGCCTGGGCTGCCTTTCAAGTTTACTTGGAGACCCAGACTGTAGCCCTCGGTGGTGAGGTTTGCAGGAACTCAAGTTTAGACCACTGGGATCAGTGATTCCCCTCTGGGTAGGGCTGTTATTAAATGCTCCCTCCATGGGCAGGCGTCAGCTGAGTTGGGTGTGGTTTTCCTTCCTGCCGTAACAGGACAGCACTGAGTTCAGTGCATCACAGTTGCTGTGTTCTCCCTCCCGTGCACGCAGAGATATCCTCAGTACCACAACACAGCTGCAGGGGCAGAGGGGCGTCAGTGATTCAGGACTGTTTTTGCTATTTCTTCGGTGTCTCTTTCAGCATTATAAAGTTAAGAGCAGGTACTATGAGTGCTCACCTGATTTTTAACACCTCATGAAGTTGTTAAATTGGTGTCCTTGTGGAGGGGGATGATAGCTGCAGTCTTCTATTCCTCCATTTTTCTCTGTCTCCTCATTTTTTTTTTTTTTTTTTTGGAGACGGAGTCTTGCTCTGTCACCCAGGCTGGAGTGCAATGGCACGATCTCGGCTCACTGCAGCCTCCGCCTCCAGGTTCAAGCGATTCTCCTGCCTCAGACTCCTGAGTAGCTGGGACTACAGGTGCTACCATGAACAGCTAAATTTAATTTTTTTAATTATTATATATTGTGGGCGAAGGATTACCTAGGTGCCGAGGCAAGAGACTAAAGGCACAAACTGTTTCAGTATAATAAAGAAAATAGAATAAGAATAGTCATAATACAAATTAGATATAGAGATGATCGTGGACAATTATCAATCATTATTATAAACATTATTAATCATTAGCTTTTAATATTACTCTTTGTTGCATTACTAATATAACCTAGGAATAACCAGCGGGTATAGGGTCAGGTGCTGAAAGCACATTGTGACAAGTTACCTAGAAGGCAAGAGCTGAGCCTTCTGTCACGCCCGCATAAGGGCCGCTTGAGGGCTCCTTGGTCAAGCGGTAATGCCAGTGTCTGGGAAGACACCCACGACGTAGCAGACCGCAAAAGGGAGTCTCCTTTCCTTGGTGGAGTCAGGGAACACTCTGCTCCACCAGCTTCTTGTGGGAGGCTGGATGTTATCCAGGCCTGCCCACAGTTATCCGGAGGCCTAAACCCCTCCCTGTGGTGCTGTGCTTCAGTGGTCACGCTCCTTGTCCACTTTCATGCTCCTCCAGCACTCCTGGTTCCTCTTTGAAGTTCGTAGTAGATAACGGTAGAAGAAATAGTGAAAGGCTTAAAGTCTTTGACCTTTCTTATAAGTGCATAGAAGAAAACGCTGATGTATGCCACCTTCTCTCTGCTTCAGCTACCTAAAAGGGAAGGGCCCCCTGTCCTATGATCACATGACTTGCTTCAACTTGTCAATCACTTAGAAGATTCACCCTCCTTACCCTGCCCCCTGGTCTTGTATGCAATAAATATCAGCGTGCCCAGCCATTCGGGACCACTACCTGTCTCCGTGTCTTAATGGTAGTGGTCCCCTGGGCCCAGCTGTTTTCTCTTTATCTCTTTGTCCTGTGTCTTTATTTATTACAATCTCTCATCTCCGTACATGGCGAGAACACCTGCTAAGCCCCGTAGGCCTCAACTCTACAATATATTTATTTTATATTGCCCAGGTTAGTCCCTAACTCCTGGGTTCAAGTGATCCTCCCACCTCGACCTCCCAAAGTGCTATAATTACAGGTATGAGCCACACCACACCCGGCCAATAATACACGTATCTTTGCAAGCATAAACATTCAGGTATCCTAACAACAGTCTCATAAGTATAAGAGTTATGAGTAGATGAACTGTATTCATAAAGAAATAGGCCAAAAAGTAAAATGTATTAACATATATGATTGGTAATTGTGTGCACTCAACTTTATAACTGTGGTCATCTGAAATACCAAGATGGACAATATAAGTCTTTTGACAAAATCAATAAAAATCCGCAGTGAGTTACCACCACACATGCAGTTGCCCAAAAAGCCAAGATCTCAAAATATTTTATCTTTCACAAATATGGATGTACAAAAAGAAGATATTTTATTGAGGAAGTTGCAATGTTTTTACATACATGCACAATGCTTACACAAATTCAGCTTCGTGATAATGCACTTTCATGGAGTCAAATTTGCAAAAATGCATAAAATGAATTAGAACTTTCTAAACATCTTTATACAATTTATACCTTCAGTATTAAAAATGGACTGAGGAGGCCGGGCACAGTGGCTCACACCTGTAATCCCTGACTTTGAGAGGCTGAAGTGGGCGGATCACTTGAGGTTAGGAGTTGGAGACCTGCCTGGCCAACATAGTGAAACCCTGTCTGTAGTAAAAATACAAAAATTAACACTTGAGCCCAGGAGGCGGAGGTTGGAGTGAGCTGAGATTGTACCACTGCACTCCAGCCTGGGTGACAAAGTGAGACCCTGTCTCAATAAAAAATAAAAATAAAAAAAGTATGTTATTATTTCCTGTTTTATTGTCTAAAATGGTCTATGAAGTGCTCTGTTGTGTTTTTATGTTTCTCAAATCTCCTTTAAAAAATATAAATAAAGAATTTTAAAGAATTTTTAAAATTATTTTGTCAAGAATTATATTTTCAGGATTTTAATCATTTGGGATTGGAATTTTGGGGATTTTGGACTTCAGGGATTTTGATCTTTCAGGATTTCATCATTTGGGATTATAACATTCAAGATTGTGTCTTTTGGGATTATGGCCCAAACCCATGCAATGGGCCAGTTCTTTGAAAGGAATAGTGTTCCATAACTCACACAAGGAGAAATAGAAAATTTGAATAGGCCTATACCTGTTAAACTAAATCAATAACTAATAACCTTCTATAATAGAAAGCACCAGGCTTAGATGGGTTCACTGATGATTGATCAAACATTTAAGAAATAAATCTTTGACCCAGAAATATTTCCTTAAAATTTTTTTTCTAAGAAAGAAATCATACCAATTCTCTACAATAGCTTCCAAAAAAATAGAAGCTAAGGGAACACACCCTAACTGACTCTAGGAGACCAGCATTACTCTAATACTAAAATCAGATAAAGACATGACAAGAAAGGGAAAACTACAGTCTCTCATAAACATAGATGCAAAAATCCTTAACAAAATATTAGCAAATCAAATGCAATAATGTGTAAAAAGAATGATATATTATGACCAAGTGGGATTTATTCCAGGTATGCAAGACTGATTCAACATTTGAAAATCAATTAATGTAACCCATCATATCAACATACTAAAGAGGAAAAAATCATGATTGTATTAATAGGTACAGAAAAAGCATTTGACAAAATCCAACACTCATTCAAGATAAAAATGCTCAGTAGGCCAGGTATGCATGTAATCCCAGCACTTTTGGAGGCCAAGGCAGGAGGATCACTTGAGCTCGGGAGTTTGAGACCAGCCTGGGCAACAAAACAAGACCCCGTCTCTAATTAAAAAAAAAAAAAAAAAAGGCTGGGTGCGGTGGCTCACGCCTGTAATCCCAGCCCTTTGGGAGGCCAAGGTGAGTGGATCACGAGGTCAGGAGATCAAGACCATCCTGGCTAACACAGTGAAACCCCGTCTCTACTAAAAATACAAAAAAATTAGCCGGGCGTGGTGGCAGGCGCCTGTAGTCCCAGCTACTCAGGAGGCTGAGGCAGGAGAATGACGTGAACCTGGGAGGCAGAGCTTGCAGTGAGCTGAGACCGCGCCACTGCCCTCCAGCCCGGGCGACAGAGCAAGACTCCATTTCAAAAAAAAAAAAAATGCTCAGTATACTTGAAATAGAGGGGATCTTCATCAATCATATACAGAATATCTACAAAAAACCTACATCATACTTAATGATGAGAGACTATATGATTTTCCCCTAGGTCAGGAACAAGGCAAAGATGTTTACTCTCATGTTCCTATTTAATATCATACCAGAATCCTAGCTAATAAGACCAGATAAGGAAATGTAGCTTTATACAGATTGGGAAGGAGGAATAAAACTGTCTTTGTTCACAGTCAACATGATTGTCTATATAGAAACACATACAAAAAGTCTCCTGAAACTAATAAGCAGTTATGGCAAGGTCACAGGATATAAGGTTAATGTACAAAAGTCAATTGCTTTCCTATATACCAGCAATGAACAATTGGAATTTGAAATTTTAAAAAAGTATGTATGTTGAAGGCAGGGAAGATTGGGAATTTTATGAGTGAAGAATTGGCAGGAGAGTGGGCTAAAGAGGTAAAATGAGGCTACACTGTGAAGAACCAAGGAAAATACTGGGGTCTGTTTGTTTTAGAAAATTCACAATTTGGCTGGGCGCAGTGGCTCATGCCTGTAATCCCAGCACTTTGGGAGGCCGAGGCAGGTGGATCACCTGAGGTCAGGAGTTCAAGACCAGCCTGACCAACATGGAGAAACCGTGTCTGTACCAAAAATACAAAATTAACTGGGGTGGTGGCACATGCCTGTATTCCCAGCTACTCAGGAGGCTGAGGCAGGAGAATTGCTTGAACCCGGGAGGTGGAGGTTGCAGTGAGCAGAGATCACGCCATTGCACTCCAGCCTGGGCAACAAGAGCGAAACTATGTCTCAAAAAAAAAAAAAAAAAAAAAAAAAAAAAAAAAAAAAACAGAAAGAAAGAAAAAGAAAAAGAAAAGAACAAAAAATTCACAATTTAACTCATGGTACACAGTGTATAGGATGGACTGGAGAGAAGGCAAGGGAAGCTGGAGTTTCTAGAGGCAGGAAGGTTAGTTTAGAGGGTATGAACATGATTTGCCAAAGAGGTAATAAGGTTTGGACTACATTTATGTCAGCAAAGAGGAGAGGACAGATTAATTCATTCAATAAGTGATTGAGTAGATACCTACTGGTGTCAGGCATTGTTCTAGGCACTGGGAATACAGCAGCAAACAAAATGATTGAGTAGATACCTACTGGTGTCAGGCATTGTTCTAGGCACTGGGAATACAGCAGCAAACAAAATAGATCACCCCTTGGGGCTTTCAAGTGGAGTATCGGTGACAGAGTGGGTGTCTGATTGGATATCGGGGAAAAGGAGAAAGGTGCGATGAGGCAATTCAGGGGTCATTGGTACCTGGATTTTTCACCTTGAACAACTAAGTGATATCATTGGACTTGTTGGGTAGACAAGGTCTAGGGGACATCCAGATGGACTCATTTTCACAGCTAGCAAGAGAGACATTCTGAAGATCAATAGTAAGGGAGAAACTGGAAGTACAGACTTTGGGGTCCTAAGAGGCAGTTAGAACCATGGGAGTAGATGATGCTATCTAGGAACGTGAGATGTGAAAGGAGTGGACTCAAGCTAGAACCCTGCAAAGCACCCACAGCTATAGGGTAAGTGGAGGAAAGGGCAGAGTGCTTGAATTTGTTGAGTGCCTACTAAGTTCCAGGTGCTTTGACATTTTGTCTCACTGAGATTTCACAATAAGTGTATAAGATAAATAGTTTTGCCTCTTACTTCCCCCACCCCAACAAATGAAATGGAATCAGAAGTGTAGGAGGAGAACTAGGGGAAATTAGGAAGTGAGATTTTCATCAGGGCAAAATGATGCTGACGGATCAAATGGGACAAGAAATGTGAAAAAAATCATTTTACACTTTTATCCATCTATTGATGGATAAAATTTAACCAAAATTGAGTCACTGAATTTGATCATTGATCAAATTTTTCTTACTCTGATAAGAGTTTTCAGAAAACTCTGATCAGAGTTTTCTTACTCTGATATCTCATATTCAAAAGGGAAAGAAAATCAACAACACAATAAACAACCTCCTGAGGAATGCAGTGTAAAAGCAAGGCTTGGTGTGTTGTTTCGCAAAAAATCTTGCTTTGTCAGCATTAATACTAACAGATAACATGAGAAGAGGCAAAAGTGTTGGCTAAATGTACCATAACTGCCTGGGAATAGTTATCTGTAGTCTATTTTTTTTTTTTCTCATCTAAAGTTCTTAGATGAAAGAGAGCTGGGTTACTGTGAACCAAAATCTCCTGCTAAGAAACCAAAGTATGGTGCAGTGGCTCACACCTGTAATTCCAGCACCTTGGGAGGCTGAGATGAGAGGCTTGCTAGAGGCCCGGAGTTCAAGACCAGCCTGGGCAACATAGAAAGACCCCCAACTCTAGGCTGGACGCGGTGGCTCATGCCTGTAATCCCAGCATTTTGTGATGCCGAGGCAGGTGGATCACGAGGTCAGGAGTTCGAGACCAGCCTGACCAAGATGGTGAAACCCCGTCTCTACTAAAAATACAAAAATTAGCTGGGCATGGTGGCGGGAACCTGTAATCCCAGCTACTCGGGAGACTGAGGCAGCAGAATCGCTTGTATCCAGGAGGTGGAGGTTGCAGTGAGCTGAGATCACGCCACTGCACTCCAGCCTGGGCAACAGAGCGAGACTCTATCTCAAAAAAAAAAAAAAAAAAAGAAAGAAAGATCCCCCAACTCTATTAAAAAAAAAAAAAAAGAAAAAGGAAATCAAAGTATAAGAACAAAATTATGAGACTGACCCTTGGAACTAACTAGTGAAAAAGACATTTTAAGGAGAGCAAAGAAGCATGAAGAATCTTATCAGTAAAATATTTCATTTGGTTTATATTTCAAATGTAATTTAAAAAGTTTATAAGCCAGGAAATTCGAATTCGATAATATGAAAGCAAGGAGAAACTAAGTTGCACCATTTAGCTAAGTTCAGGGACAACATTCATTTATAATAAATCAAAAATTTGATTTTTTTCATGCCATCAGTTGTACTTAAGCATATCCATCATATTTCAGTTGCAAAAGATGGTGAAGAACTCAAGCTGAAGAGGTGTCTGCTGAATTTTGTTGCTTCGGTAAGAGCTTTTCACCTATAAAGGACACACAAGAGTTTTGAATTTTCTTAAGGTACTTTTATAATTTTTAATAAACTTTTAATTGCAGAATCATTTTTGATTGACGGAAAAGTTGCAAAGATAGTACAGCGAGCTCTCATGTATCTGGCACCCAATTTTCCTGTTGGTTAACATCTTACATTACCATGGGAGGTTTGTCAAAACTAATGAACCCATACTGATGCATTACTACTAATCAAAGCCCATACTACCTTCAGATTACTCAGTTTTTACCTACTTTAATTTTCTGTTCCAGCATCTCATCCAGCATACCACATTACATTTAATTGTCATCTTCTCTTAGGCTCCTCTAAACTGTGACTGTTTCTCAGCCTTTCCTTGTTTTTGATGACCCTGACAGTTTTCAGGAGGAGTAGTCAGGTATTTTGTGGAATGTGCCTCAGTTTAGGTTTGTCTGATGTTTTTCTCATGGTTAGACTGGAGTTAAGAGGTTTTGGGGAGAAGACCACAAAGGTAAAGTGCCATTCTCATCACATCAAATCAGGGGTGCAAACTATCAATATGACTTATTACCAATGATGGTGACGTTGATTACCTGGCTCAGGTCATTGTGTCAGGTTTCTCCATTGTGGAGTTACTCCATACAGTATAGAGAGTGCACTTGCATGCTGTACTTTTCATGCTGTACTTTTTGGAAGGAAGTCACTATGCAAACCCCCACTTCAGGGTGGGGAATCATGCCGCTCTCCTTGAGGAAGGAGTATCTACCTAAATATTTGGAGTTCCATATGGGAGATGTGTCTCTTCTCCCATACAGAAATTCTCCTGCCACTTCTTTGCTCTCAAAATTCCCAGTTTTCCCTGCTTTCAACATACATACTTTTTTTCAATTTTCAAATTTTATTCAGTCATTTATGTCAGCACAAACTCATAGATATTTTATACTTTGGGTTATAATCTAACACGACCTTATTTTGTTCCTCAAAGTGCCCCAGTTTGGACTATGGGGAGCTTTTCCAGTGGATTCCTATGTCCTTCATCTCAATCTATTTTAACGTAAATCATGTTGTTATTCCTTGCTCTTTCTCTCTTGTTTAGCTCCCCATTTCGATATCTGTTTGTCTAAAGTTTTATTGCCAGTGAGTGATGTAGGGTCCAAGTTGATGAGGAGGAGTCAGGACCGCCAAGGTATTTTACTTCAAACCCACCTAAAGATTCAGTGAGATATTTTCCCTGAGGTTAAAGAAAACACTTGAGCTATCAGGACTCATTACTATGAATGTGTGGGTAGATATTTGATCCAAATTGTTTCATGTATTTATTTAAGTAAACAGTGTTGGAATGATCTAACTCCCCATCTTTGCTTCTGGCCTCATCCTGTACAATCTGTACTATATACTATTATTAGATTAATATTTATTATTTTAAAATTTTATTTATTTTTATTTTTACTTTTTAGTAGAGATGAGGTCTTGCTATGTTGCCCAGGCTGGTCGCTGGTGCTGAACTCCTGAGCTCAAGTGATCCTCCCACCTCGGTCTCCCAAAGTGTTGGGATTATAGGCATGAGCCACCATGCCCAGCCTTAGATTCATATTTCTAAAGAGTAGTTCTATTCATTTACTTCAAGCCTGCAATAATTTCCCAATTCCTACCAAGTCATTAGCTTAGTATTCAGACATCGCATGCTAAGGCCTTTAAAATCTTTTATTTTTCGTTATTTTTCTACTTATGCCATATGTTCTAGCCAAGTTGGACCTAAGCTCATAAAGATATTTTCTCTGTTTTTGCCTCTCTAGTTTCATTAATATTGCTGATTAGAAGCAACATTTCATTTCTTTTCTTTTTCTTTTCCTTTTTTTTTTTTTTTTTTTTTTTGAGACAGGGCTGGAGTGCAGTGGTGTGATCATAGCTCACTGCAGCTTCTACCTCCCAGGCTCAAGTGATCCTCCCACCTCAGCCTCCCAAGTATCTGGGACTACAGGCGTGCACCACCACACCTAGCTAATTTTTGTATTTTTTCAAGAGACAGGGTTTCAACATGTTCCCCAGGCTGGTCTTGAACTCCTGGGTTCAAGCAGTCCTCTTGCCTTGGCCTCCCAAAGTGCTGGGATCACAGGTGTGAGCCACTGCACTCAGCCTCCATTTCTATTAATTAAAACCACATCTTGAGTCAGTGATCCTCTGTTTGCCCCTATCTGATTTACTTACTCCCTTGACCATCCTGCTGTGTGCCCTGGGAAGCGACCTGCGGACTACCGTGACACTTTGCTGCCCTCTGCCTTTCTGGTGGGTTCAGCCAATGGGAAAACCAGAAGGACATCCGAAAGTGAGGTCAGGGTACTTTTTCAGTTCTATGGGTTGCCTCGGGCTGCTCACAACCCTCTCTTGAGAGGATACTGTTTCTTTCAGGGCAGGCCTCTTCACACAGCTCTCTCCTTAAGGATTCAGGTCACTGCTCCCTCTTCTCCTCCCTGGGGCTGTTGCCAGGCAGGTTATTATGCCATCCCTTGTCATCTCCCTACAATGCCCCACCCACACCTTTATAATTAGTCTTCATTAAATCTTTGAACTATCACAGTTTGAGTGCCATCTGTTTCTTGTTGAGAACTAATACGCACTTCCCCTTTAGAATTAAAAATCACTGCTTTCAAGAAACTTTCACCTATACATCTTACAAGATGTGATCTTTTCCTCCTCTGAACATAAAATACCGCTTTGTCTATAGGCATTAATTGAATTCTGCATTTTAGTTAGGGGTTTGTCTAATCCCCCTTTTTCGTATAAATTCTATAATGACAGAGGGACTAGCTTATTTATCTTGCTCCCCAACCCTACTACAATACCTAACAGTATCTTACCTAGTCTTAGATATTGATACATTGATACATTAGTTGCTAAGATAATATATACTTGATCCTAGATCCTTAATACATTACTTGCTAAGTAAATGAACATTTTTTTACGTATCTCCCAAGAGTTATTTTTATTAACCCATACAGAGTCCTTATCACTTCAGGAAGGAAACTGGATATTACAAAGAGTAGAAAAATTGTGTTCTTCCCATACTTAATATATATTCTACAGGGGATGGAGTAAGTCATGTTGATTTCTACTTAACTACATCCTCAATAGATAGTCCTGAGAAAAATTAGTTGAAAATGACTTGATTGAATTTCAGATGGTTAATTCTATATAACATTTCCAAACATTCTAAATTCTATGTTCACCTCTTTCAAAGTTCAGCTTCTCCAACAGGAGTTTTCTATTTAACCTCACCTTGCTATGATAGATGCTTTATGCCACAATCAATCCAAATATCATACAGAATGTTATTTTCTTTACTCTTCTATTTTATAATTATTTACGAATTCCTTTTGTCAACTTGTTTGTCTTAGCAGGGAACATGTTTTCTAATTCTTTTGTATCTCACCATACTCTGGTATTTTACAAGTGGTAAGTGCTTCCTTAATAGATCACCAGAATTCTGAGAAGTTTAGAAAATTCACCATTCCTTTATTTACTAAAATATGGTTTCAAAGTATAGAGCTATCTTCTTCATAAGAAGAAAATTAAAGCCAATCTTGATATTATGATAGCACTTCAGGAGACTTAAGAAATAGTTATTGCTGAATTATTCAAAACAACAAATAATTGACAAAGTCTTTAGTGATATTTCTAAAAACCCACATGTTCTGAGAGGCATGTTTGCATTGACTCACCATCAGTTTTTAGAAAGTACGCATGGCTCTCCTTCTGTTGATATCTCTCTTGATTTGGCAAAGAGTACAATGAGGACAGCAAAGAGTTGCCATATAGTCATCACAAATAGATCCCTGTTTGAAAACCAAAAAGAAATAAAAATATAAAATTCACCTATTTGGAATTAAGACTTGCCACATCTTGAAGAGAAGCAGAAGGCACTGATCTTTCAGATTCAGAGTTTGGATGGATACATTTAGGAAAATATTACCTCACTTTTTCACATAAATGTTGTCTCATTTTATGACGGAAAATATTTTTCTATACTTTACGTTTCTGAAAATGTAAGGAGATGTCCAACCAAACTATCAAGTATGAGAGTTAAATATCCTTGGGAAGTAGAATTTCAAAACTCTTTTCTCCTGGACCTCCTCTCTGTCATAGGAAGCTAGTAGGGGATGTGTTCCACCAAAATGCGGGTGTAAACCAAGAAAGAGGAAGATAAGAAGAAGGAGTCTAATACAGGAGAGAAGCTAATGGAATCTCCAGGGTCATGGTGAAGGCAGATCCCAGGATGAGAGCTAAGCACTAGGAATAATGGGCAACTAGTTTAAAAGGTAGTAGGACTGGAAGTGATTTCATCATGAAGATGAAAATGATAAAACATCTATGTGTTGAAGTTGTTGGGAAGAAATTCAGAAAACTGGCAAACAATTTGGGGTTAAAGGACTCATAAGTAAATAGAGGAAAAATACTAACAAAAACTCAATAATTACCAATACCAGGAAAAACAAAATTAAGCAGAAAAAGCAATCATATTTACTATATGACTCAGCTCTGAAGTTGAATAAAACAAATATAAGTATCAAAATGTAAACACTGAATATGGAATTAACCATATAACTATATGGGAAAGAAAGGGGTAGGGGGAGAGGGCACATGTGTGTAGTGCGGGAGGAGGAGAAAATAGAACTAAATTCACATCTTCCCTAGTGGGAGGTTAACAGATAATGCCTCTAACTAAAAGTCAAGAAGTAGCAATACAAGTGTGTGATTTGGAGATATGGAGGAAAATTCCCAAGACATCAGCTCTAGGGAAGAAGTAAGGAAGAAACTTTTGGGGACTACTTTGTAAAATTAGATGATTTTAAAAACACTTCGTTTCAGGGTTTTGATAAATAAAAAAATTAAAGCTGCATTAGAAAACAGTGGCATTTACATTCCTGGCATTTAATGGACTTGAAACTGAACACAGTCACGGGCAGGGCACTAGATGAACCCTCATCTCCATCAAGCGCAGGGTCTGCAAACGATGTTAAGCACTGATCTTAGTAACAGTTCAGGGAGGGTCAGAATCTTGTAGCCTCCAGCTCCATGACTTCTAAACTATAATTTTAATCTTGTGGCTAATGTTAGTCCTCCAAAGGCAATCTATTCCCCAGGCAAAAGGGAGGTCTGCTTTGGGAAAGGGCTATTACCATGTTTGTTTAAACTATAAACTACGTTTCTCCCAAAGTTGGTTCAGCCTACACCCAGGAATGAACAAGGACAGCTTGGCGGTTAGAAGTAAGATGGAGTCAGTTAAGTTAGATCTCTTTCACTGTCTCAGTCATAATTTTGCAAAGGCAGTTTCACCACCTCAGCCTCCTGAAAAAGAGTTTCAGGCTAGGACTGCAGGCATGCTCAGCTGCACCTAGCTGAAACTATTTTCTATTTTCACTTAAAAATATTTATCATTTTGTGAATTACAAAAAAAAAATGCTTATTGACAACACTTGTGAACAAAATTTAAATAAAAATTAAAACAATTTTAAATGCATGCTATAGATAATTTTAATGACAAATTGAAACACAGAACAATATTAAGTGAAAAATAACAATCTAATCCCTTTCTACCCAATGTCACTACCAGAGATAACCTATTAATAATTTGCTGTGTAGGCTCTTTCCTTAGATTTTGTTCTATGCCTATGACTCATATAAATATAGATTAGACGAAGATACAGCTATGGACATAGACATATAGAGTTTGGCATTTCAGGAGTTCGTTTGTTTTTTAAAAATGAGGTCATACTATCCTATAACTTATTTTTCCTACTTGATATATGATAGCCAATACTGTAAGAAATTTCTATGTCTTGTTTTGTGTCCTTCAGAGCTAAATCTTGTGACCATATGGGGATACTTTCTTTTGGTTTCCACCATCCAACATCCTCACCCCTCACTAGGAGATGAGACTCTCATGAAGATGGGCTGATTACAAAATGGGCTGATTGGCTTTGGGTTGCTTTGCAATGAAATGCACAGTCAGTAAAAGCACTGCACCGTCTTCTCCCGTAGTATTTCCCTCCTTTTGGGGATGGAGAAACCAGTATAAAACGGTACCTTTAACTTTGGAGATCTGTCTTGCCTTCAGCTGTTTATTTGCTACTTATTTGGTCCTAGAAACGCATGCTGTCCCAGCTCTATTCCTCCAAGAGCTCCACCCTGAAGCCGGTCATCCAATTAAGAAATTGGCAAATGAAAAATCTTACAAGTGCCCAATCTTCTGTCTGTCTCTATTTACATGTGGGGTGTGTGTGTGTGTGGGTGTGTATGTGTGTGTGTGTGTGATGTTTATATATAAAAGAGCTCTGATTAATTGGCTTAGGAAAAAAGCACTTAAATAAAATATTTTGTCAGAAAAATAGAAACTTTAACGCCTTTTTGTTCACATGGCTTTAGTAATCTTTTGGAAATAAGGACAGTTTTAAAGATTATTGGTAAAATAAGTTGTCTTGAAAATGTAGACATTTGCCCTAAATTAAGGTCAGATTTGCTAAATGCTTTAAGGTCAAGCTGTTTCTTTGACTTTTGAAAATTGTTTGATTTACCTACTTTGGAGGCTTAGATAATATATAAGGCCTGGGGACATATGGAGAGCCATGCCCGCTAGCTATGCTAAAAAGAGTCTGACCTTATCTTCATTTCTGTCTAATGTCCTAGGCTCCACCCCTAATACATAATTAAAATATCTTACTTATCAGAGTTTTCACTAAAAATAAAAGTTGCTAAGAGTTAATATGGTAACATGTAATTGAGACCACTGGAGAAACAGTTTTACATAAAGGTGTGTAGGGAATGTGTTTTTGGTAAAAGATTATAAGAAGGCATAGGAATATGGCTTTTGTTAAACGGAATGTAATTTTGTCTAGTTTTGAGGGTTTTTTTTTTTTTTTTTGAGATGGAGTCTCGCTCTGCCACCAGGCTAGAGTGCAGTGGCGTGATCTCGGCTCACCGCAACCTCCGCCTCCCGGGTTCAAGTGATTCTCCTATCATAGCCTCCCGAGTAGCCAGGACTGCAGGTGCGCGCCATCATGCTCAGCTAATTTTTGTATTTTTAGTAGAGATGGGGTTTCACCATGTTGGCCAGGATTGTCCCAATCTCCTGACCTTGTGATCTGCTCACCTCGGCCTCCCAAAGTGCTGGGATTACAGGCGTGAGCCACCGCGCCGGGCCTGAGGGTTTTAAAGATTGTCTTAACCTAAAAGACTAACGGGACGAAACTGAAGGTTTAAGCAAAGTGAAAAGGGTTTGTAAAGGGTTGATCTTGTAAAAAATTCTGTGGGTATAAACAAGTTGGCCAAGAGCTAAAAAAAATTATTTAGCATTTTTCCATAGGTTAAAACATTAAAATCACACTGCTGTGGGGCCAGAATCTGGGCCCATGTGTCCAAATAACAGGGTTTTCTTAGAAAATGGATCTTCTGTTTGATGGAAAATTATAAAGCGTTCTAAAAAGTTTATGAAAATCTTACCTTATGGTCAAACTAATTAAAACTGGATAGATATATACAATTTTATGTAAAAACTAGCTTTAGCACCAAAGATGCACTAATGCAAACATGAAATTTGGTTTTCTCTTTCAAAGATGATTTTTATGTAATGTTAAAAGATAATGAAAGAGTTTTGTTTTCTCCTTTGGGTAAATGGCAGGGAAAAAAAGGAGGACAGAAAGAAGAGACAGATTCAGCTGGCTTCATGCTATCTTCATTGAGTCTTGTTTGGAAAGCTAAGTCTCCTCTATCAGAATAAAGGTTTTTTTTTTTTTAATTTTTTTGAGTTATTTTTGCCAAATGAATGACTTATGGTGACTTGGGATTCTATTTTGTGATATCTGGTGTTTTAAACCTTTGATATTTGACAAGCTTTCCAAAATCAAATTATAAATTATGTCTCTTTCTAACCTAATATTTAGATATTAGGTCCTCTAAAGTCTCAAAATGGCTTATTTGGTACAAAAATCATACAGGAAGCATTGTCAAATATCAAATGACTTTCTTTGGTCTATATTTGTGTAAATGTGTTATTGGTGTATGTTCCAAAATTATATAAAACTGCTATAATTCTAATATGACTTAGTATATGTTAACAATAATAATTATAATTATTATGTTAAATGACTGTGTGCCACAGAAGTAAATTTCCTTGTCAATTGTGCCTTTAACTGTGGCTGCCCTAAAATGTTTTTGTCATCCACAGACAATTGTTTTCTCACTTTGGTCCTCTTTAAAAGATGATTTTATAATCAGCTATAACTTTTTTTTTTTTTGAGATGGAGTTTCATTCTTGTCCAGGCTGGAGTACAATGATGCAATCTTGGCTCACTGCATTTACAAATTGAAGGTTTGTGGCAACCCTGCATCAAGCAAGTCTAAGGGTGCCATTTTTTCCAATAGCGTGTGCTCACTTCATGTCTCTGTGTCACAGTTTGGAAATTCTTGCAATATTTCAATTTTTTTCATTCTTATTATATCTGTTATGGCCACCTGTGATCATTAAGAGTTTGATGTTACTATTTATTTTGGGGCACCATGAACTGCACCCATCCATATAAGATGGTGATATAGTTTGGATGTTGTCCCCACCCAAATCTCACATCAAATGTAATCCCCAATGTTGGAGGTGGGGCCTGGTGGGAGGTGACTGGATCATAGCAGCAGATTTTCCCTTTAGTACTGTGTTCCAATAGTGCGTGAGTTCTCGTGAGATCTGGTTGTTTAAAAGTGTGTAGCAGAGGCTGGGCATGGTGGCTCACACCTGTAATCCCAGCACTTTGGAAGGCCAAGGCAGGCGGATCACAGGGTCAAGAAATCTAGACCATCCTGGCCAACATGGTGAAACCCCATCTCTACTAAAAATACAAAAAAAAAAAAAAATTAGATGGGTGTGGTGACGCACACCCGTACTCCCAGCTACTCAGGAGGCTGAGGCAGGAAAATTGCTTGAACCTGGGAGGCAGAGGTTGCAGTGAGACGAGATCATACCACTGCACTCCAGCCTGGTGACAGAGCGAGACTCTGTCTCAAAAAAAAAAAACAAAAAACTGCCGGGCGCGCGAGGCGGGCAGATCACAAGGTCAGGAGATCGAGACCATCTTGCCTAACATCCTGCCTAGACGGTGGAACCCCGTCTCTACTAAAAATACAAAAAAATAGCCAGGCGTGGTGGCGGGCTCCTGTAGTCCCAGCTACTTGGGAGGCTGAGGCAGGAGAATGGCGTGAACCCAGGAGGTGGAGCTTGCAGTGAGCCAAGATCGTGCCACTGCACTCCAGCCTGGGTGACAGAGCGAGACTCCATCTCAAAAAAAAAAAAAAAAATGTGTAGCACCTCTGTCTCCCTTCCTCCTGCTCCAGTCATGTGAAGTGCTGGCTCCCCCTTTGCTTTCTGCCATAATTGTAAGCTTCCACAGGTCTCCCTAGAAGCAGATGCCACTATGCTTCCTGTACAGCCTGTGGAACCATGAGCCAATTAAACCTCTTTTCTTTATAAATTACCCAGTCTCAGGTACTTCTTTATAGCAATGCGAGAACCTTTTCTTTATAAGTTACCCAGCCTCAGGTACTTCTTTATAGCAATGCGAGAACGGACTAATACCGACAGCAAATTTAATTGATAAATGTGTGTATTCTGACTGCTCCACTGACCAGCTGTTCTGTTCTCCTATCTCTCTTCCTCTCCTTGGGCCTCTCTATTCCCTGAGACACAACAATACTGAAATTAGGTCAACCAATAACCCTACAATGGCCTCTAAATGTTCAAATGAAAGGAAGAGTCACATATCTCCTACTTAAATCAAAAGCTAGAAATAATTAAGCTTAGTGAGAAAAACATATTGAAACCAGAGAGAGGCTGAAAGCTAGTCCTCTTGTGCCAAATGGTTAGCCAAGTTGTGAATGCAGTGGAAAAGTTCTTGAAGGAAATTAAACATGCTACTCCGGTGAACATAAAAATGATAGGAAAGCAAAACAACCTTATTGCTAATCTGGAGAAAGTTTGAGTGGTCTGGATAGGAGACCAAACCAGCCACAACATTCCCATAAGTCAAAGCCTAATCCACAGCAAGGCCCCAGTGCTCTTCGGGTTCTATGAAGGATAAGAGAGACAAAGCTGCAGAAGAAGCTGGGCGTGGTGGCTCATGCCTATAATCCCAGCACTTTGGGAGGCCGAGTTGGGCAGATCACGAGGTCAGGAGATTGAGACCATCCTGACCAACATGGTGAAATCCCGTCTCTACTAAAAATACAAAAAAATTAGCTGGGTGTGGCGGCACGGGCCTGTAATCCCAGCTACTGGCGAGGCTGAGGCAGGAGAATCGCTTGAACCCGGGAGGCAGAGTTTGCAGTGAGCCAAGATCGTGCCCCACTGCACTCCAGCCTGACGACAGAGCGAGACTGCATCTCAAAACAAAAACAAAAACAACAACAAAAAAGAAAGCTGCAAAAGAAAAGTCTGAAGCTAAAAGAGGTTGCTTCATGAGGTTTAAGGAAAGATGTCTTCTCCGTAACATAAAAGCACAAGGCGAAGCAGCAAGTGCTGATGGAGAAGGTGTGGCAAGTTATCCAGAAGGCCTAGCTAAGATAATTGATTAAGGTGGCTACGCTAAAAAACAGATTTTCAATGAAAATGAAACAGCCTTATTGGAAGAAGATGCCATCAAGGAAATTCAAAGTTAGAAAGGAGAAGTCCGTGCCTGTATTCAAAGGTGCCAAAGACAGGCTGACTCTCTTGTTAGGAGATAATGCAACTGGTGACTTTAAGTTGAAGCCAATGCTCATTTACTATTTGCAAAATCCTAGAGCCCTTAAGAATTATTCTAATCACTTTTCTTTCCCCTACCCCATGAGAAAAAAAAATAATTATGCTAAATCTGCCTGTGCTCTATAAATGGAACCACAAAACCTGATGACAGCACGTGTTGACAGCATTGTTTACCAAATATTAAGCCCACAACTGAAACCTATACTCACAAAGAAAGATTATTTTCAAAATATTACTGTTCACTAACAATGTACCTAGACATCCAAGAACTCTGATGAAGACATACAAAGAGATTAATGTTATTTTCATGCCTTCTAAAAGAACACCTATTCTGCAGCCAATCAAGGAGTAATTTTGATTTTCAAGTCTTATTATTTAAAAAAAAAAACACTTTTGAAGGCTGTAGCTGCCATAGACAGTGATACCTCTGATGGATCTAGGGAAAATAAATTGAAAATCTTGTGGAAATGATTAATAATTTTAGGTTTCATTAAGAACATTCATGATTCCTGGCCAGGTGTGGTGGCTCACAGCTGTAATCTCAGCACTTAGGGAGGCCAAGGCAGGCGGATCACTTGAGGTCAGGAGTTTCGAGACCAGCCTGGCCAACATGGTAAAAACCCATCTCTACCAAAAAATAAAAATAAAAAATTAACTGGGTGTGATGCTGCACATCTATAGCCCCAGGTACTCAGGAGGCTGAGGTGGGAGAATTGCTTGAACCTGGGAGGGGAAGGCTGCAGTGAGCCGAGACGGCGCCACTGCACTCCAGCCTGGGTGACAGAGTGAGACCCTGTCTCAAAAAACAAAACAGAAAAACATTCATGATTCCTGGGGGGAGATCAAAATATCAACAGTAAAGGAGATTGGAAGAAGTTGATTCTATCCCTCATGGATGACTTTGAGGTGTTCAAGACTTCAGTAGAGAAAGTAACTACAGATGTGGTAGAAATAGCAAGAGAACTAGAATTAGAAATGGATCCTAAAGATGTCACTGAATTGCTGCAATCTCATGATAAAACTTGAGGAGCTACTTCTTATGGATGAGCAAAGAAAGCTGTTTCTTGGCCGGGCGCGGTGGCTCACGCCTGTAATCCCAACACCTTGGGAGGCCGAGGCGGGCGGATCATGAGGTCAGGAGATTGAGACAATACTGGCTAACACGGTGAAACCCCGTCTCTACTAAAAATACAAAAAATTAGCCGGGCGTAGTGGCGGGCACCTGTAATCCCAGCTACTCAGGAGGCCGAGGCAGGAGAATGGCGTGAATCTGGGAGGCGGAGCTTGCAGTGAGCCGAGATGGCGCCACTGCACTCCAGCCTGGGTGACAGAGCAAGACTCCCTTTAAAAAAAAAAAAAAGAAAGCTATTTCTTGAGGCTGGGCGCGGTGGCTTCTGCCTGTAATCCCAGCACTGTGGGAGGCCGAGGCGGGCGGATCACAAGGTCAAGAGATCAAGACCATCCTGGCCAACATGGTGAAACCCTGTCTCTACTAAAAATACAAAAATTAGCTGGGCACGGTGGCGGGTACCTGTAATCTCAGCTACTCGGGAGGATGAGGCAGGAGAATCGCTTGAACCTGGGAGGCGGAGGTTGCAGTGAGCCGAGATCTCACCACTGCACTCCAGCCTGGCAACAGAGTGAGACTCCATCTCAACAAAGAAAGAAAGAAAGAAAGAAAGTGGTTTCTTGAGATGGAATCAACTCCTGGTGAAGATGCTGTGACCATGGTTGAAATAACAACAAAGGATTGAGAATATTCCATAAGCTTAGTTGATAAAGCCGTAACAGGGTTTGAGAGGACTGAATCCAATTTTGAAAGAAGTTCTATTGTAGGTAAAATGCTACCAAATAGCATAGAAATCTTTCCTTTCATGAAAGGAATGGTCAATCAATGAGGCAGACTTCATTGTTGCCTTATTTGTTTTTTGTTTTTGTTTTGTTTTGTTTGAGATGGAGTCTTGCTCTGTTGTCCAGGCTGGAGTGCTGAGGCGCAATCTGGGCTCACTGCAGCCTCCCTCCTGGGTTCAAGCAATTCTCCTGCCTCAGCCTCCCAAGTAGCTGGGATTACAGGCACCTGCCACCACGCCTGGCTAATTTCTATATTTTTAGTAGACAGGGGTTTCACCATGTTGGCCAGGCTGGTCTTTAACTCCTGACCTCAAGTGATCAGCCCTCCTGGGCCTCCCGAAGTGCTGGGATTATAGGTGTGAGCCACCACGCCCAGACCATTGTTGCCTTACTTGAAGAAATTGCCACAGTCACCCCAACCTTCAGTATCCAGCACCCTGATCAATCAGCAGCCACCAACACTGAGGCAAGACCCTCCACAGGCAAAAACATTATGAATTGCTGAAGATTCAGATAGATTATTATTAGTATTTTTTAGCCATAAAGTATTTTAAAATTAAGGTACATATGTTGTTTTTTGAGACATAATGTTATTGCATACTTAACAGACTATAGTGTAGTATAAGCATACCTTTTATGTGCACTGGGAAACCAAAAAATTCATGTGACTTGCTTTATTGCAATATTTGCTTTATTGTGGTGGTCTAGAACTAAACCTGTATATCTGAGGTTTGCCTGTATATATATATATGTGTGTATACACACATCCACTCCCAATCTTATTGGTTCTGTTTCTAATGCACTTAGGAGGACTCTAAGTAATATAATCTCTCACCTACACAAAGTGGAGTTGGTGTAATGGAAAGTGTATGAATGGACAGTTAGAATTGAGTATCGACTCTTTCTCTACTATTATCTTTGAGGGAATTACTCCACCTCTTAAAACTTTAAAGTTCTCTTTGGCAAAATGTTGTGGACCTACCCACTTTACAGAGATGATGTGAGGATTAAGTGAGATAATACATGTAATGCATCCACGCCACAGTAGATCCTAAATAAGCCTCTTCCATGGTATGACATCCATTGCAAATATGAGTTATCAATTTTCTCAGGTTTTCAGCAGAAACCTAGAAGGAGGCCACATAACCAGAAGATCTGTTGCTACAACTGAATGCAAGATTGCACATGCTAGGGAACTCTTATCAATCAATTTCAGAAGATGTATACATCAAATGATCTCCATGTTTATAATAATTATTTTGAATGGGGTGCATATTTGAGTGAGATGGTATGGTAAGAGACTCACAGGGATGCCATATCGGGTCCTGTAGAGAGTCCTCATTGCGACGCTTGTTCCACACAGACAGCATTCATTCATATCAGCTGCAACTTGACACCCAAGGCACGGGAAACAAAATGTGCCACAGAGACCTAGACACATGAAACCAGGGGTACATATTACTCCACTCTGCCCCTGCCACAGCTGAAAGTTTAGCTTGCTTTCACAAATGGCAGTCCGAGTCATGGGGCCTTGGCCGCAAAGCCTGCTGCTAAGTCCATCTTCAATGTTTCTATTCAGCTTTGCATCAATTTCTCGCTCCACCCGCAAATCATTTCAGGAATGACCACGCCTTTGCAAAGTATATCATTCTTGTCATAGTTCTGCCTTCATTCATTTGTTCATTGATGCAGTAAAACTTATTCATTTTCCAGACATTATCCTCAGTACTGACAGTGCCCCTGGCTCAAGTCTAGTAGTGAAGGCAGATCATAGGGAAAGTTCTCCAACAGAAACGTGTTTGAAATACCAACAGGTCACCCAGAAAAATGGGGCCTACAAGGCCCTGAGTAGGAAATGCTCAGGAAATATTGAAGGATGATTAGATGTTTTAAAGGTGGACAAAAAGGAAAAGAGCCTCTTCGAGGTAATCTGGCATATCCTGGCAAAGGCTAGTGTTCATTCAATATGGCTGGAGCCCTGGGATGGGATGAGGATTTAACTGGGGGTTGAGGCAGGTTGGGGACCAGATGATGAAAAACTGTAAGTGTTAAGAGTGTGCCATGAGAGTTATGAGGAACCACTGAAACATTTTAAGAGGGGAGAATAATTTGATCAGATCTACATTTAAGAAAATTTGCTATTAAGCAATTAAGCTTTGATTGGAACTTGTGTATTCATTTAATTGGGTAATAATAATACTAGGGGTGAGAGGGTTAAAATGTTCATCTTTAGAGAGTTTCACCAATGCAGTCTAATTCTCACTTTGATTTGCAGATGTTGAACTGGTGCCCTGAGAAGCTTAAGTCGTCACCCCAGACAATGAGAGTGAAAAAACCAACACAATTGTTTCATTCCCTAGGTAATTTTCCCTTGCTATGCTACTGAGTGTGTAATTCTTTTTTTATTTTTATTTTATTTTATTTACTTATTTATTTATTTATTTTTGAGATGCAGCCTCGAGTGCAATGGTGCGATCTTAGCTCACTGCAACCTCTACCTCTCAGGTTCAAGCAATTCTTCTGCCTCAGCCTCCCAAGTAGCTGGGACTACAGGCACCCACCACCATGCCCGGTTAATTTTTGTATTTTTTAGTAGAGATGGGGTTTCACCATCTTGGCCAGGCTGGTCTTGAACTCCTGACCTTGTGATCTGCCCGCCTTGGCCTCCCAAAGTGCTGGGATTACAGGTGTGAGCCACCACGCCCAGCCTGATTGTAATTCTTATCACATTCAAAGTTCAATTTCAGGCCAGGTATGGTGGCTTATGCCTGTAATCCTAGCACTTTGGAAGGCCGAGGTGGGCAGATCACTTGATGTCAGGAGTTTGAGACCGGCCTGCCCAACACGATGAAACCCCATCTCTACTAAAAATACAAAAATTGGCTGGGTGTGGTTGTGCGTGCCTGTAACCCCAGCTACTCGGAGGCCAAGGTAGGAGAATCACTTGAACCAGGGAGACAGACAATTGCAGTGAGCTGAGATTGCACCACTACATTCTAGCCTGGGTGACAAAGTGAGACTGTGTCTCAAAAAAAACAAAAAACAAAAACAAGGTTCAATTCAACTCTCATTCAAAGTCATTTTCAACTTTAAAGGATAATGTATTTTATTTTCTTGCCTTAGAGTACTATGTGGACCAAGACAAGCAAATAGACTTCAGAGCAAGTTTTCTGCAGGTGGGTTTGTTTATTTCTTGGTCATTATTGAGAACTAAGCACCTTGCTCCTCGCTGCAACGCCCATCACACCCCAAACTTCTTTCCTCCAAGTTCATTTAGAGACATCTCTAAGTAAGAGATCTTTTAAGGAGATCTTATAAAAAGAAAACAGCCTGGGTGCGGTGGCTCACGCTTGTAATCCCAGTACTTTGGGAGGCTCAGGCAGGCGGATCACCTGAGGTCAGGAGTTTGAGACCAGCCTGGCCAACATGGTGAAACCTTGTCTCTACTAAAAATACAAAAATTAGCCAGGTGTGGTGACGGGTGCCTGTAATCCCAGCTACTCAGGAGGCTGAGGCAGGAGAATCTCTTGAACCTGGGAGGCGGAGGTTGCAGTGAGTGGAGATCGTGCCATTGCACTCCAGCCAGGGGGACAAGAGTGAGACTTCGTCTCAAAAACAAACAAAAAAAAAAAACAAAAAAAAAAACAAAGCAGTCAGAGATTTTTTTTCCCCAGTGACAAGCTAATTGCCTCCAGAATTCTTTATTCTCAGGTGTGTAAAAAACCTAAATATATACATTAAAATAGTTTTCTCTGAACGCATATGGAAACCATGAATCTAACCCTTGGGTACTGGACACAATGTAACTATAAATTAATGAGGTTAATTTATATGTTGCAAGAACAGTCTTTCTAAAAAAATCAAGTTCAACTTGGAATTTTTAAATTAATGTAAGTTCTATTTAGTCAGGCCAGACCTGCTCGTTGTTAGAATCAATCAGCTCTTTTGCTATTATCTTAACCCAGAACTTATTTTAGGAGTAAGACTGTTCTTTGAAGGGCTGGAGAAAATTAAGTTATCCATACGGAGGCTTTTTTTTTTTTTTTTTTTTTTTTTTTTTTTTTTTTTGCTAAACATACCATTGCCTGACATGCAGAGTGCTTGTAATAAGTTAGAAACTTTTTCTACACAATAAGGGAGGAATGGGGGAAGGATTGAGTCATTGGTAATTCACCTCGGTATCAAATAAGGGGGTTCTTTCCCCACACACTTACAGACTCCGCAGTCGCTGAAACAGTCACACATGCCTGTCTGCCAGTTGGAGTTCTGGGGGGCCGGACCGGGACCGACTCCAGGTTGGGTCACAACGACCACCGGCGCCTGAGCTTGCATTTTCAGTGCAGGGCCTTAAAAGCAGTGGACTGAAAAGGCAGAGTGGTGTTAGAAATCTCTGTTGTGGGGTGGGGGGAGGGGAGAGGGATAGCATTAGGAGATATACCTAATGTAAATGACGAGTTAATGGGTGCAGCACACCAACATGGCACATGTATACATATGTAACAAACCTGCACGTTGTGCACATGTACCCTAGAACTTAAAGTATAATAAAATATATATATATATATAAAAGAAATCTCGAGGTTGCTCTTTAAAGGCCCACTTTAGGGGCAGGATGCTGAGGCAGTGTAGAGGAAGTTGCTCTGTTTGAAGAACAGAATTTCTATCTCCACCCTTCACAAGATAGAGACCCTGGGGGTGAGGGGAAGGAATTCACCGAACTGGGCCGGGCGCGGTGACTCAGGTCTGTAATCCCGGCACTTTGGGAGGCCGAGGCCGACGGATCATTTGAGGTCAGGAATTCGAGACCAGCCTGGCCAGTATGGCGAAACCCCGCCTCTACTAAAAATGCAAAAAATTAGCCAGGCTTGGTGGCGCGTGCCTGTAACTCCAGCTACTCGGGAGGCCGAGGCAGGAGAATCGCTTGAACCGGGAAGGTGGAGGTTGCATTAAGCCGAGGTCATACTTCTGCACCCCAGCCTGGGCGACAGAGTGAGACTCCACCTCAACAAAACCCCCCAAAACAAAAACCACAGAATTCACGGAACTGGGAAGGTGAACAGTTGCTTCTCGTGGGGTAAGGGAGCTGAAGAGTGTTGCTCGTGTACTGTTTTTAGACAGGTACCTGGTATTCACACAGGCTGCGAAACAAACGAGCAACCTGTGATCATGGCCGACAGTAGTGAATTATAGAAAATAGCATTCTCTAAAATGGCATCATCCTAAACTTTTGTGTATATCCCCCCTTCTTGTTCCTAATTTATTCTTTTTTGTTTTGGACTGATTTCCGATGAGCAATCCTTTCCAGTCTTCCCACTTCCTGACTTGTCCTTCACTTCATATTTACTGGGAGCCTGCAAACCTGTGTCAGCGCTGGCCTGACGGACCCTGCTGTGTGGTAGGGGCAGTTTATTAAGAAGTACATTTGGTAAGGTTACTCCTCATTTCTCTACATCATGAGAGGCAGTGTAGGGTCATGGAACATGAATTAGATTCGGAGTGAGAGCAGCTTTGCCCAAGTCTTAGTTTCTGAAACCGTGATCTTAGACTCATCATTTAACTAGCCGTTTAAATGTCCACTTGTTAAACTGTAAAATGGGGTTTCTGACCTACCCACCTTACAGGCTCATTCTAAAGAATTTGTCTTTAAATAAAAATACCATGAACTGTATTCAGAACAGCTGAAGCTTATTTTAAATGTATTAGACGTGTCCTTCTATAGACATTAAAGTGGTTTTGGCTTCTGTTTGATTTTTTTAAAAATGTACCATAATAGCCGTTCACTGCTTTTTTACACTAAAAGAAGGAGGCGGACCCATCTGTGGATCCCACAGCAAACAAGATTTTCTGCAAAAGAAGGTTCCAGTAAGTGAACAAAAAACCAGGGGGTCCGGCTGAGCCGATCATTCAGGGCGTGCATGAGCCGCGGATGTGTACGTGGCGGTGGAGGAGCCCCTGTTGAGGGGCAGAGCCGTCGGGTGACGGACTAGGCGAACGTGTGTCTGGCGGCCGCTGCCTTCGGGCCTCTTCCAGGGAGGAGGATCGAGGAGGCGGAGAGCCCGCCTGGCTCTTCCCCAGTTGCAGGGACAGGTCTGAAGCACGGGCTTCAGGAGGCGGGGAGTGGGTGGGTGGGCTTCTTACCTTCTCTGCCCGCTCTGCACTCGGGAAGGGGCTGTGAGCGGCAGCTGCGCGCGGGGCTCTTCGATCAACCCTCACCCCGCCGGATTACGCCTCCCGCCAGCCCAGCTCTGGGACCCCTGGGTCTCCTCTGCTGGGACCAGACCTGCCTGCCGGTAAATTCTTAAGAGCAGCCCGCGCAGAATCTATCCCAAGGAGACCGCCCATTTTTGCTGGGGCAATCAGGGAACTGCGTCTGCGGATGGCTGCCCTCGGGGGACCATTCGCCGGGGCGGCGCGCCGCTGGGGACTCGGCGTGAACCGGGCAGCGGGCGCGCGGTCTCGGAGCCCAGCCCCAGCGGCAGGCGCCAGGAGCCGCAAAGCTGGGCAGGGCTGGCGCCGCTTCCTCCCGGGCACCCGCCGCTCTGTCGCTCCGGGCGCCCAGGCTCACCGGGCATTTCTAAATTGTAAAAAGTTTTTATCAGATGGTATGGGCTGAGCAACGCTGGGATTGGAAAGTAAGACAAGAAACTATCACCCACCCCCTCCCCCGCCCGCTGATTTGAATGCTTATTAGATGGACCCTGGATTCTAGTCTTGGGGTACACGCCCACGTGTAAGAGTAAGCAACCACAGCTCTCTAGACACACTCATGCCGCCAATCTCATGAAATAAGAGGTAAGGACCTTGCAATGATTCCGTTTTCGTCACTCACCCCTTTTACAATAATTAGCTTGGCTTTGGGAAAAGTAAGTCCCAAATCCCCAACACTGAGGGTAAGCTCCACAAAGGCAGGGGATTTTGTGGGCCAAGTTCACTGAGGTGTCTCAAAACCTTAGCTCGGGACCTGGTACACAGGAGGAGCTCACTAGCGCCCCCGCCACCACGCTCTCCGCTTCCGGGCTGGCTGAGGCCATGCGTGATGCAGGCTCCAGATGGTGCATAGCAAACAGTGGCGAGAGCCCAGCCCTGGAAACGCAAACAAGGCTAATGTTTCACCTGACTCTGCAGACCTCCACAGGTGGGGACCAGATCTTCCCTAAATCCCAACTCCAGTACTAACATGGTCGAAACCATATTTTTGGGTGATGGCTTCCCACATTTGAAATCCTGGAGGAAGAAGCATTACAGGAAATGCTAGAGAATATGTATTCAAATTTCTTCTGCATTTCATCTTGGTTATCAAATACCAGAAAAAATATGAAAGGCTAATTATCCGTAATGTCAAGTGGCTATCCCTAGGTGATTGGCTGATAGACTTTTTGTTGTTGTTGTTTTGTGATAAGGTCTCTTTGTTGTCCAGGCAGGAGTGCAATGAATGGCACGATCATAATTCACTGCAGCCTGGAACTCCTGAGCTCAAGTGATCCCCCCACCTCAGCCTCCTGAGTAGCCGAGATTACAGGTGCACACCACCATGCCTGGCTAATTTGTTTTCGTTTTCTGTAGAGATGGGGGTCTCACTATGTTGCCCAGGCTGACCTTGAGCTCCTGGCCTCAAGTGATCTTCCTGCCTTGGCCTCCCAAAACACTGGAATTACAGGTGTAAGCCACCACCCATGGCCGATAATTTTTTTTATAATTAGCATTTATTTCTTTTATAAGCAAAACAAGAAATATCCTTTTCAGAAACAAAAAGCAAATCCAGTGACTAGAAAAAAAATTTTAAGGGGTCATACCAGGCCAGGCACGGTGGCTAACGCCTGTAATCCTAGCACTTTGGGAGGCCAAGGCAGGTGGATCCTCGGTGACAGAGCGAGACTCTTATCTCCAAAAAAAAAATAAAAAAATAAAAAAAAAGGAGGGGGCAAGTCATACAAATGATACTATAGCTGTTTGTATTTTTTTCCCTCTTGGCCCTTAGCCAATGCTTGGCATGAAACTGGTATTCAATAAATAAAGATGATCCTACAACTCTTTCAGAGGAAAAACATGTTCATTTAACACCCTTATTTTTTCAAGAAGCCTATATTCTGTTTTTTAATATAATAACAGCAATCTGAAGATTTCAGAATAAAAACCACCCTGCAATTATGTAATTGTTTTTCCTTTACCTGACTGTATTTACTTAGTGTATGGCATATGTGTTTTTGTATTCAAATTGGCTAATGTTAGACTTCATAGCAGTTTGAGTCCTGAACATTTTCTGAGTGCCTTTGAAATCCACTCAGTGGCCATCTCTATATTCTATAGTAAGCAGCTGTATCGGCTGGGTGTGGTGGCTTACGCCTGTAATCCCAGCACTTTGGGAGGCTGAGGTCGGGAGTTCGAGACCAACCTGAACAACATGGAGAAACCCTGTCTCTACTAAAAATACAAAATTAGCTGGGTGTGGTAGTGTATGCCTGTAATCCCAGCTATTCGGGAGGCTGAGGCAGGAGAATCGCTTGAACCCAGGAGGTGGAGGTTGTGGTGAGCCAAGATCGTGCCATTGCATTCCAGCCTGGATGACAGAGCGAGACTCCGTCTCAAAAAAAAAAAAATTTATATATATATATATGTATATATATATATGTATATATATATATATATATGTATCAGCTGTATCTCAAATATCCATATGCTAACTGCCAGTTAGTTTGTGTGAACATTACTTCCTCCATGTAGTAGCCTCAACAGTCTTTAGCCCAACAGTCAACATTGTATGTTTCTGTTTCCTTCACTACTTTTGTACTTTTGACTTCCTCTTTTGAATGTGGGAGATTGCAGGGACCCAGGTGCTTCTGTGAATATTAGCACTAGGAACTGGAGCAGAATGGGGGGCCCCAGGAGGTTTCTGATGCTATTGTAAGTTCCTTTCTAGCACAGATTACCTATATTGGTGGAGAAGTCTACTCGGCTTATCCCTGCGTAGAAGAGTAGTCCTAAAGGGAACTGCTATCCAGGACTTCCATCTGTCACTTCTAGCTGATTCTAAAAAGGGTCTAATAACTTCTCCCGTGAGATATCTTATTCAAAGAAATACCTTCTTGAAAGTTATAAAACAGATGAGAAAGCAAACACACTCATTTGTACGCGCCTCTGTGATCATTTAAAAATTCAAGGTATCTTTTAAGTTGCAACAAATGTAAAACAGAAACAAATGTAAAATTGTTGCTTGTTCAAACAACCACAATTCTCTTTGCTTCAGCCATGAAGTCTTTAGCCTTAGCCATTCAAGGTAAAAGGTCAGCAATAAGTGGAGAGAAAACGTCCTTGAAAATCTAGAGTTCCTAGGACCTTAGGTACCAGCTTGTCTCCTTAGTTCAGTGGTCCTCAAAGCTTACTATTAGTAAAACCACTTGGACTGCTCTTTAACGTGTAGATTTCTAGACACTGCTCAGAGATTGTGACTTAGATAGAATGAGCTAGGGTTGAGGAATCTGTACAATGTAGAATTCTACACACTGTTCAGAGATTGTGGTTTAGATAGAATGAGCTAGGGTCTAAAAGTCTGTAACGTGCACCCGCAGGGCTGCTGCCCTTATGCCATAGGCTTTTGTCCTATGAACTAGAAAAACGTGGCCCTTCTCACAGACACGGCTTGGTGAGCACGTAGCTGCTTCGGTGAGAATTCGAAAAACGGTACACCTTCCTCCATGCGATGAAGCCCATGCTAGACCCTCTCGCATTCCCGGGAGCACATTCCAAACTAGCTCCTCTCCCTTCAGGTGCGGGCCTGTGCAGTATCCTGGGCACTTCACAAGATTCTAATGCCAGTGGCCTTGCAGAGCACATTTTGTAACCCACGACCAGTGGCCTTATTTTTCTTCTGTTACTAATAACTACAGATCCAATTTAATTCAGCAAATATTTTATTGAGTGCCAGGGTGTGTAAACGTGTTGGGCTGGATTTGGTAAGGGCTAAGGAGATGCCTGAGGTTTCCTATCTGTGGCCAGCAGTTCTGCCCGTTGTGGTGTGACCACACAGCTGTTTTGTTCCATGCCATCTTTAACCCCACAGGAGCAGAGAGAGTGATTAAAAAAAAGTTGGCAGGGGCCACCTTGGAAAATGCAGGAAAAATGGGGGCAGGAGGTAGTGAAATGGGAATCTTGGTGGGCAAGCTTTGGAGAATGAGACTAGAATACCTTTCTTTAGGAAGTTCTGTGGAATGGTCTCAATGTCAGGAAATCTTGCAGTATTTGGCTCATATTTTAAACACCTTAATTTTATCTATTAGTTAAGAATCAATCTTGTATTTGTCTCTCCTTTCTATGAGCACTTCACTCCTGAGGACAGCCCACTATCTTAATAAAATACATTAATATTAATATAATACATGATATTAATTATAGTAATATTAATACATATTATTAATATTGATTAATCCAGATACTAGACATATTATTGAGATTTTTCTCTTCTACTGTTTATTGATGTTAAATTTCATTTTTTTGCTTTGATTGAAACATTTCCATTTCATAATCTCTCCATCTCTCTTTATACATATAAATGAAGCACCAGAATTTAATTTTGAAGAATTCTAGTCTGTTTTTCTTACTTTCATAGTGAGAATTCAAGAATTCTTATAATTCATTAGCTAAATCTACAAAATTCCATATCTTGTTTCTAAATACTTTGAATGGATAAAATAGAATATTTGTAAAGCAGAAAGAAATTAGACCGGCATAAGTCAACATGCATACATATTGAAATAAAGAGTGAAATTAATGATCATGTTACTAAATACAATGTATAATATGTGTTTGCTGCAGAAAGCAGCAATTGATGAGGATTCAAGGCTGGGATCTTACACTACTTTGAAAAGCCTGGCATTTGGCAAAATGCTTAGCAAGAAATTGTTGAATTTGACTAAATGTATAAATTTAAAGCAATTAGATAAGAAAACCTTAGTCTTTTAGCTGAAACTCAAAATATAACATGCTAAGAAAAAAACAAGAAAATCAAATAACTTTTAAAGAAAGCTTTTTTTTTTTGAATGCTAAGTTTTTAAAACAAGTTCTTACTTGTAAAGTACTTACAATTAGTAAACAAGGTTCCGAGCAGGAAATGTCTTGTGGCCTGGGAGAGAATCTCACCACAAATGAAAACTACGTGAAAGGGGAGAGGTAACTGTGTTTCTATCGCAGGGCATAGTACATAGAACAGTTTCAGACGCTCTTATTGGCCAGAGTAATCCAGCAGAAGTGGTTTCAATGTGTGTTTCTCTTATCTGGAGAATGAATATATCTCTTGCCAAATAAGGTGTGTTTCTTTTCCTATATTGTGTTAGGTACACTGATACGTCTTTTTAATGGGGAAAGGATTTAATTCATTATATAGTTTGATTGGTTTTACATGTCTGGCAGAGCTTACTGTTGTTTTTTTGTGTTTGTTTTTTGTTATCTTTGTGGGGAAAAAAAAGATCATTATTGTTTCAGATTATATAGTAGTTGGCATCTCAAGCATCCTTTAATGGTATCAACTTACAGATACTGAACATTAAAATAGGCCAAGCATTATCAATGACTTGTTAATGACTTTGATAGTTAGGCCTTATTTTTTCAATTTTAGAGGTGAGGAAACAAGCTCAGATTCTTGAGCTGACTTTCAGAGGCCACATAGCTAACAAGTTACTCACCTAGGATTTTAGCTCATGTCAGCTCAGCTCCAAACTATGGCTCTTTTTACAATGTTGCATCCAATTTCTTTGTACCTTTTTAATTATTCTTCTTATTGGTGGTATTACTATTTCTTTCTTTTGAAATTTTTATTCATAGTCTTTGAATTTCTGATCCCATAGTTTAAACTATCAAAAGACAAAATTACAACAAATTTAGTTTAGAAGATGTAATTGCCTTTTATTTGCAATTCTAGAATCAAGCAACACATCATTCTATAAAATAGAATGAGTGTCCTGGTGAGTATGAAGAAAGCGGAAACAGAGAAAAAAAGATAGATTGGTTGTTTCAAAGTTACTTTCCTTATAGGACTAAAACAGAGAGGACTTCCTTACTACACTGACTGAGGTTGACTGAAATCTCCTGTTTTTTGGAAAACTGGTCCATTTCAAAGTTCAGTTTGATTATATGTCACTTAGCACAAGCGACTTCATTCTGGTTTGGTCTGATTTTCTGGGGCCTAGAGCAGGAGGCTAGTCCATAACAATGGCCTCTCATAAACTTTGTTTAACAAAACCTTTCAGAAATGAGGGTGGGCCGGCACAGTGGGAGGCCCAGGCGGAGGACTGCTTAAGGTCAGAGTTCAAGACAAGCCTGGCCAACACAGTGAGACCTTGTCTCTAAAAAAAAACAAAAACAAAAACAAAAAATTAAAAAATTAGCCAGACATGGTGGTAAGTGCCCGTAGGCTTGTAGTCCCCGCTACTTGGAAGGCTGAGGCAGGAGGATTGCCTGAGCCCAAGAATTTGAGGTTACAGTGAGCTGTGTTGTGTCACCACACTCCAGCCGGAGTGACAGCAAGACCGTGTCTCTAAAAAAAAAAAAAAATTAAGAAATGAGAGTGGCCAGCTTTCCTGTCATTCACTCTGAAGTTTTTGCGGATGGGAAATCTTTCCCACTAGAACAAGGCTATTGTGTGAGGTTGTACAGTGAGAATGTGTGGCATTATGGCAGACTCTAAGTGCTTAGAGTCCCTTTTCAGTCCCAATTCCTAGCTGCCATCTGCTAGCCACTTAACATTTCTATGCCTCAGGTTCCTTGTCAAATGAGCGTAATAATTGCACCTACCCCACAGGATTGTAGGGAAAATTCAAAAAATTAATACATGCAAAACATTTAAAACAGTGCCTAACACATAATCAATATTAGGGGAAACAAAGAAACAAAGAAATCTGAAGAAGGAGAAAGAAAAAGAGACATGTGGAATTCCAGATAGCCTATTTTCTTCCAAATACTATGTATAAACTCCACAATAAAAAGATGGCAACATGGCCAGGTGTGGTAACTCACACCTGTAATCCCAGCACTTTGGGAGGCCAAGGCGGGAGGATCACTTGAGCCCAGGAGTTTGAGACCAGCCTGTGCAACATAGTGAGATCTCATCTCCTTTTTTCAAATAAATAAATAAAATAAAAAATTAAAAAATTGAAAAATCAAAAAGATGTCAACAAATATGTACTAGTTATTTATTGTATTAAAGGGGGAAAGTACATCTTAAAAATCGGTAAGCTTGGCCGGGCACGGTCACTCATGCCTGTAATTCCAGCACTTTAGGAGGCCGAGGCAGGCAGATCACCTGAGGTCGGGAGTTTGAGACCAGCCTGACCAACATGGAGAAACCTCGTCTCTACTAAAAATACAAAATTAGCTGGGCGTGGTGGCGCATGCCTATAATCCCAGCTACTCAGTAGGCTGAGGCAGGAGAATTGCTTGAACCCGGGAGGCAGAGGTTGTGGTGAGCCGAGATCACGCCATTGCACTCCAGCCTGGGCAACAAGAGCAAACCTCCGTCTCAAAAAAATAAAAAATATGTCTGGGCGGGGTGGCTCATGCCTGTAATCCGAGCACTTTGGGAGGCCGAGGCGGGCGGATGACCTGAGGTCGGGAGTTCGAGACCAGCCTGACCAACATGGAGAAACCTCGTCTCTACTAAAAATACAAAATTAGCCGGGCTTGGTGGCACATGCCCGTAATCCCGGCTACTTGGGAGGCTGAGGCAGGAGAATTGCTTGAACCTGTTAGACAGAGGTTGCAGTGAACCGAGATTGCGCCATTGCACTCCAGCATGGGCAACAGAGCGAGACTCTGTCTCAAAATAAATACATAAATAAATAAAATAAAAAATAAAAAAATAACATCCAGGCCGGGCGCAGTGGCTCACGCCTGTAATCCCAGCACTTTGGGAAGCCGAGGTGGGCAGATCACAAAGTCAGGAGTTCGAGACCAGCCTGGCCAATATAGTGAAACCCCGTCTCTACTAAAAATACAAAAAAATTAGCCAGGCATGGTCGTGGGCACCTGTAGTCCCAGCTACTCGGGGAGCTGAGGCAGGAGACTTGCTTGAACCCGGAAGGTGGAGGTTGCAGTGAGTCGAGATTGCACCACTGCACTCCAGCCTGGGTGATAGAGCAAGACTCTGTCTCAAAAAAAAAAAAAAAAAAAAACACCACCCAGCCTTGACAAAGTTTTACAAACTGATAGTAGACTGGTTGATTTTTGGTGGCATTATAAATTGGTACTATCTTTTAGAAAGGCAATATTGGCCACATAGTATATAGAAGAACAAAAAAAATACTTACATTTTGGTCCTCCAGTTTCATCAAGAGTGAGTGCCTTCTTAAATTCTGTGCCCGTAGGGACCTTGTTTGCCTCACCCTGGTCCTGGTCCTGAATGAATGCATGAAGGAAAGAGGTCAAATTACATCAAGGCCATGTCCATCTTTACCATTATGTTACCCAGAATGGGGAATAATGGATCTTATATGTTCAGTCCATCTTTTTAAGGTATGCTGGGAGCAATTGGAGGGCAACACAAGGTGATATATTGCAGACAACTAGAAAACGTGAACAGAGCCACATGCAGTGGCTCATGCCTGTAATCCCAGCATTTTGGGAGGCCGAGGTGGGTGGATCACTTGAGCCCAGGAGTCTGAGACCAGCCTGGGCAAGATGGTGAGACCTGTTTCTACAAAAAATATAGTAGCTGAGCATGGTGGTGCACACTTGTGGTCCCAGCTACGTGGGAGGCTGAGGCAGGAGGATCACTTGAGCTCAGGAGCTCAAGGCTGCAGTGAGCTGTGTTTGTGCCACTGTGTTCAAGCCTGGGTGACACAGCAAGACGCTGTCTCAAAAAAAAAAAAAAAAGATCAAAGAAAATTTGTGAAGCCATACCAGCAGAAAGAAAATGAGGACAGAATACAATATAATAGGAATTAACTACTGGTAAGATTCCCTGTGGGTTGGGAAAGTAAATTATTTTTTTCTATATGAAGCTAACTTTGAAGGATAGATTTTGAACTGGTGATGATGCAGAGGTGGAATAGAATGAGCCAAGATGAAGAGGCAGGACTCAGCAGAAGAGACAGGTAACTACTTTGCTGACCCAAAATCTTGACTTATGCAGATAATGGGATAGACTTGAAATAGGGACCATTCTAGAAAAACTGCCAACTTTACATATCTTTGAATATGTAAATATTCAAATTAGGACCTCAAGGTTAGCATGTCCCCATTGAAACCTTCAGTTCTCATCCTCTGTCACACACACCTTCTAACCTTCTCCACCTCAGTAATTGGCACCACAATCTACTCAATGATTAAGCCAAAAGTCTAAAAGTCATCCCTCACTTCCCATCCATTCAACTGGCAAGAGCTGTTGGTTTTACCTCTGACATGTGTAACTAATCCATCTGCTTTTCTCCATCTCCACCGTCATCCTCTATAACTCTCATCTGGAGTGTTGCAAAAGCTTCCTTGTTTGTTTCCCTGCCTGCATTCCTGCCCTCCAATATAGCAGCCAGGATCATCTTTCAAATGTGTAAATCAAATTTGTAACTCCAACAAAACCACTCCAATTGCTTCCCCTTGCACTTGGAATAAAATCCAAATTCCATCATGGCCATTCTCCATTTGCACTGGCCTTCCTTCTGTTCCCGAAACAAAGCTCACTCTTCCTTAGGACCTTGCACTTCTGGTTTCCTCTGTCTAGAATGTTCTTATCTAGAACTCTTATCTATCTTATCTGAACTCTTGTTCAGGTCTCCACACCTTTCCTTCAGTCCTACTTGAAGTAGGTCCTCGTTACCCTTCATCACATAATTCTGGCTTTTTTTTTTTAGGCAGGGGCACTACTTAACTTCACTCTGTCACCTAGGCTGGAGTGCAGTGGTGCCATCATAGCTCTCTGCAGCTTCAACCTCCCAGGCTCAAGTGATCCTCCCACTTCAGCCTCCCGAGTAGCTGGGACCACACCACCACGCCTGGCTAATTTTTAAATTTATTTTAGAGATTGGAGTCTCCCTATGTTGCCTGGGCTAGTCTTGAACTCCTGGGCTCAAGCAGTTCCCTGCTTTGGCCTGCCAAAGTGCTGGGGTTAAGCCAGCACTTTAAGAGGATGTAATCCCAGCACTTTGGGAGGCTCAAGCAGGGGGATCATTTTCCTTCCCTTCCCTTTCCCTTTCCTTCCCTTTCCTTCTTCTTCTTCTTTTTTTTTTTTTTTTTTCTGAGACAGATTCTCACTCTGTTGCCTGGACTGGAGTGCAGTGGTGTGATCTTGGCTCACTGCAACCTCTGCCTCCTGGGTTCAAGTGATTCTCCTTCCTCAGCCTTCTGAGTAGCTGGACTACAGGCATGTGCCACCATGCCTGGCTAATTTTTTTCTGGTATTTTTTGGTAGAGATGGGGTTTCAACATGTTGGCCAGGCTGGTCTTGAACTCCAGACCTCAAGTGGTCCACACGCCTCAGCTTCCCAAAGTGCTGGGATTACTGGTGTGTGCCACTGCGCCTGACCTTATTTTCTTATTCATTTTATTTCTCTTCCACTTAGTAGACACTTCATATAATTTGCAAGGAAGATCTAACACATATTGCGAAGATTCACTTATATCCTTGCATGTAGGTATAGATCATTTTGTGCATTCTTTCTTTTTTTTTCTTTTGGAGACAGGGTCTCGCTCTATCACTTAGGCTGGACTGCAGCGGTGCACCACGACTCACTGCAGCCACAACCTCCTGGGCTCAAGTGATTCTCCTACCTTAACCTCTCAAGTAGCTGGGACTACAGGAATGCACCACCATGCCCAACTAATTTTTGTATTTTTTTTTTTACAGAGACAGCTTTCTCCATGTTGCCCAGGCTGGTGTGCATTCTTTGCTTCAGCCAGGAGAGCTCCCTTGGAACTGGGTGCTCCTGCTTGGGAAAAAGGTGGACAACAGGATGGCTGCCCTACTGAACTCCTGTGGTTCATAGACCATGATGTAGAGAAGGTTTCATACACCTCTTCTTGGCTCTCGCATATTGTTACAATCATTGTATTTAACCTAGAATTAAGTTGAGAGAACTGTATGGACCCATCATCCAACTTCAACAATTTTCAACTATGGTTAATATTATTCGGTCTATTGCCACACCAGATTATTAGTTCTTTCTCCCTGGATTATTTTGATGCAGTTTCTGGACATCATATTATTTCATCAGTTAATATTTTAGTATACATCTTTAGAAGATAAATATCACTAAGTATTTTAGTATGTATATCTAACAAAACCTCCATTTATAAAACTACAAACCAAATATATCAGACCTAGCCCCCCGAGTTTTTTATATTATCAACTATTCAGTGTTCAGATTTTCCTGATTGTCTCATAATATTAAACATTTGTTTTTGTTTGAATCAAGATCTAAATAAGGTGTATACATTGCCATTTGCTGACATATGTCTTAAGTCTTTTAAAATCTATAGGTGTCCTCTCCCTTTCCCTACTTCTTACAACCATCGGCCTCAACGCACACAATTTATATATGGAATAAACCTGGTTGTTTGTCTCCAGTGTTTCCTATGGTCTAGATTGGCAGATTTTACCCCCGTTATGTCATTTAACCCCTTCCTCTGTTCCCTTGTATTTCCTGTATAGTGGTAATTAGCCCTAGAAGCTTGATCAGATTCAGGTAAAATTTTTTTGGCAAGAATACTTCATAGGTATTACCATATACTGTCCTAAGAAGACACATATGTTTAGTTGATTTTCTTTTTCTAATGTTGGTTGATGATCATTGCTGGATCCATTCCTTCAGTAGAGGTTGCAAAATAGTCATATTCTAATTATATCGTGCTGAGATGGCCGTGAGAATATGCCTAGGAGACCTCCTACTGCATGGAGTGTAAGTGAAGTCAGGCCCCAGCTGCTATGCTTTGAAATACAGCGCTGCATTTGTACTGAGGCCATTCCTTCCAGCAATAACTGAGTGCAATGGGGATATTACGGTAGACCTGTTTCTGGGAGACATGGGATGCCTTTGTAAGTTAACTTTGGCTCGATGGCTTTGGCAAACCTCCTTATACTGCAGAGCAGTTTAGGATGCTTTAACCAGCCTTCTCTTCATCTTCACCCTTTTGCACCACAGTCTGACAGCCTTCCCAGCCTTCTCTTGCTCCTTCTCTATTTCCTTTTACACAATCATTTCCTCAAGTAAAATCCTTTTGCATTTCATCCAGTCTGGACATCTGCTTCTCAACGGACAAGAACTAACACATATTCCTTTTTCATTTATTAGCTGAAATGATTCTAAAAAAAAACAAAATTCTCCTCATCAACCATTTGGTTACCTTGAGGTATAATTCCTATAAAAAGGCAAATATATATTTTATTTATTCCCTTTATTCACCAGTTTTCAAAATAATGAGTTGTTTCCTAGCATTTTTCAAAAGTATCCAATGACGGAAAGTTTTTTTTAGCTTCATTATGAACTCATGAATTTAAACATATTTGGTGCATTTTGATCCGTTGCAGTTATATTGTTTTATTTTTTAAGATGAAGTCTCTCCTTGTCGCCCAGGCTGGAGTGCAATGGTGCGATCCTGGCTCACTGCAACCTCTGCCTCCTGGGTTCAAGCAATTCTCATGCCTCAGCCTCTGGAGTAGCTGGGATTACAGGCATGTGCCACCATGCCTGGCTAATTTTGGTATTTTTGTCAAGATGGGGTTTTACCATGTTGGCTGGGCTGGTCTTGAACTCCTGACCTTAAGTGATCTGCCCGCCTCGGCCTCCCAAAGTGCTGGGATAATGGTGAGCCACTGCAACCAGCCCATTGCAGTTATTCTTATTGATGCTAAAATTGTTCTTTTAAACCATATTGCTTGCTTTCTTGTACAACAAGATGTTCCCAGATCAATTTATATATTTTCTGACTCAGACCTGACATTGACAATTTTCCCAAGGAGTCTTGGCTTCTTTTAGTGGGAAATGTTAGTTAGAGACCATAATTTAGATACTAGAGGTGCTCATTGTCACTGGGCTTTTTCGGGGGTTAGAGCAAAGAAACAAATACACATTTTAAGAATAAAATACAAAGTGATTTCAAATTGATACTTTGCTCATTTTTTTTTGCTATACATTTTTAAAATTAAGGTTTTAGATAGTAAAAATGGTTAATCTTTTCTCTTATTTCTTTTGAAATGTGAGTTTTAGGAAAATTTACCTCACTTTTAGGTTATAAAGGTATTTACTCCTATTTTCTTCTAGATCTTATATTGTTTATTTACATTTAAATCTCTCATCTAATTTGAATTTATTCTCATGTACAATATGAGAAACAGATCCAATTTTATCTTTATCTTAAGAGTATACAGTTATAACAATGCTGCTTACCACAAAGTTCATATTTTCCTGACTTGTCACTTTTGTTATATACTAAACTGGAATGATTTTTTCAAATACCTTTGATTGCCATAAGGAAGGCACCAGCTACAGTTAGAATTAAGTAACCTCTGGGTTAGAAGGGATCTTCAGTGGTTTTTAATCTTGACTATATAACAAAATCACTTGGGATACTTATTAAAAGTATCTGGTGAGGGCTTGCATATTCTTGCTGTGTCCTCACATGGTGAAGGGGGCAAAAGGGATGAAAGCTGTGTCCTCACATGGCAGAAAAGGTGGGAGAGCCAGGCAGCCCTTATGACTCAATCACTTCCCCCAAAGCCCTACCACTTAATACCATCACAATAGGGATTAATTTTCAATGTGAATTTTACAAGGACACAAACATTCAAACCATAGCACATGTATTTATCAGACCTTTAGGCAGGAGGTGGCTTCAAGGGATTCTTGAATGGATTAAGGAAATGTATTTTTAATTAATTAATATGGCACTTATTTTCAACTGAAAAGTAGTAATACATATATTATGTACATAATGGAACCTCCATGTCTGCTTATTCTTAAGTGTTCATAGGGGTCTCTGTTCTCCTCAATACCAATAATGATAATTTGAGATCCCAAATGCAAGATGTCCAGCCATTGATTAAGCTCTCATTCATTCTGAAAGTATTTCTGAGAATCCTAGAAGAGTCCACACACCTGTTTTGGTGGTGGCTGGTCCCCTGTGCCAGCTCTTCAGCTCCAGATTGCTCCATGGCAATTTACAACCTATACACACCTGTTTAAAAAATGCTCAAACAAGCTCTTTAATAGTCAGAAATTTTACATTATTCCTGTTCCTTGCCAACTTCCATTTCACTTCTGATTTTCCCACAGAATATTATCCTAATATAGGTATTTTTATTTCTGAAAGCCTTTTATTTGATCACTCTGTCATAGTTCTCTGCAACAAAAGTAGGTATGTAAATTAAGCTCTTTTTATGATCATGCCGCTGCACTTGAGTCTGGGTGACACAGCAAGACCCCATCGCTAAAAAATAAAAATAAAATAAAAATCTAAATACCAAAAATTTATTCTGGTTTCAGTTATCATTACAATGATTGTTAATATCCCATTGGTCAAAACAACCTGTCTTACAATTGTTTATAAATAATTATTAAACACAAATCATTCATTTCTTTGAAAAGCCTGTTCACCCACATTATATATGGTTCTGGTGGTGTGGTGCAGCCCCAGGCAGGGTATGGGTCCCAGGTTGGTTACGCTTGTGAAAGATTATTGAGTAACATTTGTGAAAAGAGGAAGAAGAATTGGGCACCAGCTAACCACACTGCTTGCAGCTGGGCAGCCAGTCTTTTCTTGAGGAAAATCTGGGAGGTGCATTTCAATGCCAGCAGCAGTATTACCCAGGCTTAGCCCATCATAGAGCTCTATATCCTTGGAAACTGATTGGACCAAAAGATTGAGCGTGTGACCTTAGCAGGGCCAATTAAAATTCTTTCTGAAAAATGCTATAAAATACAAAACTTAGCCGGGTGTGGAGGCGGATGCCTGTAATCCCAGCTACTCGGGAGGCTGATGCAGGAGAATGGCATGAGCCCAGGAGGCAGAGCTTACAGTGAGCCGAGATCACGCCACTGCACTTCAGCCTGGGCCACAGAGCAAAACTCTGACTCAACAACAACAAAAAAAACAAACAAACGAAAAAAAGAAGTGGCTGGAAGGAAACTGCTCTCTCTTTTCTGTTGGAATTGTTTACTTGGATTGAGTGCATTGCCTTGCTGGTGGCCATCTTCCCCGGCTACGTGGAGGAAGTCTTACTATAGCAGGGGAGAATGATTCCAATGTGCAGGCAGAGGAGAGGAGAGGAGGGCAGGGGAGGGGAGGGGGCAGAGGGGAGGGGAGGGGTGTGGGGGGAGGAGGGGAGGGGAAGGGAGTTCAAGGCCCTGGCTTCTGGTAGCTCTCCCTTAGATTCTATGACCTGCCCCGCAAATCCTCACAGCTACACGAGCCAAAAATTACCAACTTCTACCTCCCCTGCGGTGGCCCTTTTTTACTTTGGTTAAATAAGGCCGGGCGCAGTGGCTCACATCTGTATTCCCAGCACTTTGGAAGGCGGAGGCAGGCGGATCACGAGGTCAAGAGATCGGCATCATCCTGGCCAACGTGGTGAAACCCCGTCTCTACTGAAAATACAAAAATTAGCTGGGCTTGGTGGCGCTTGCCTGTAGTCCCAGCTACTCGGGAGGCTGAGGCAGGAGAATCGCTTGAACCCGGGAGACGGAGGTTGCAGTGAGCCGAGATCGCGCCACTGCACTCCAGCCTGGGTGACAGAGCAAGACTCCATCTCAAAAAAAAAAAAAAAAAGTTCAAGTTGAATTTCATTCCCATCACTTTACAGCTGAAAAACTCTTGAGCAATAATATACTTAAAATTACACCGTCCTGGTTGGGCGCGCTGGCTCACGCCTGTAATCCCAGCACTTTGGGAGGCCAAGGCGGGCGGATCACGAGGTCAGGAGATCAAGACCATCCTGGCTAACACGGTGAAACCCTGTCTCTACTAAAAATACAAAAAAAAAAAAAAAAAAATTAGCCAGGTGTGGTGGCGGGAGCCTGTAGTTCCCAGCGCTACTTGGGAGGCTGAGGCAGGAGAATGATGTGGACCTGGAAGGCGAAGCTTGCAGTGTGCCGAGATCACACCACTGCACTCCAGCCTGGGCGACAGAGTGAGACTCCGTCTCAAAAAAAAAAAAAAAAAAAAAAAAATTATACTGTCCTAGCAATGGAAAGTTGCTCTTTAAGAGATCAGCAAACATTGTTTCTTATCTGATTTGAACTTGTGAGTAAGCAATAAAAACGTCATTGAGGAGCTGGGCGCGGTGGCTCACACCTGTAATTCCGGCACTTTGGGAGGCCGAGGTGGGCGGATCTCTTGAGGTCAGGAGTTTGACACCAGCCTGGCCAGCATGGAAACCCCGTTTCTACTAAAAATACAAAAATTAGCCTGGAGTGGTGGCACACTCATGTAATCCTAGCTACTTGGAAGGCTGAGGCAGGAGAATGGCTTGAACCCGGAAGCTGAGGTTGCAGTGAGATTGCCGCACTGCACTCCAGCCTGGGTAACAGAGCAAGATCCTGTTTCAAAAGAAAAAAAACAAAAAACACCTCATTGAGGGAAGATCGTTTTTTAGCATTCTACCCACAAGATCTTTGTGGTAACTGGCTATTGATTGAAGGATATATATGTTAGATATATGTTAGAAACATGAGATAATTTTTTAAGTTTGAAACAATTTTGGACAGAAAAGTTGCAAGAATAGGCTAAAGCTCCCATATGTCCTTCACCTAGCTTCCCCTAAAATTAACATCTCCTATAACCATAATACAATGATTAAAAATGGGAAATTAACATTGGTACAGTAATATACTAATGACTAATGACATTATTTGAATCTCAAGAGTTTTTCCATGAATGTTCTCTATTGGTTTGAGTATCTAATCCAGGATTCCACATTACATTTGTTGTCATCTCTCCTTAGTCTCCTCCATCTGGAGAAGTTCCTCAGTTTTTCCTTATCTTTCATGACTGACATATTTGAAGAATACTGGTCTGCTATTTTGTAGAATATATCTCAATTTGGGTTTCTCTGCCATTTTCTCAGTAATCATATCAGATCATATATGATGTCAATGTGTTTTATTACTGGTGATGTTAACCTTGATCACTTGGCTAAGGTGGGGTTTGTCTGTCTCCACTATAAAGTTACTATTTTCCCCTTTGTAATCAATAAACATCTTGGATGAGCTACTTGAAACTATGCAAATATCCTGTTTCTCCTGTCACTTTCACTTACTAATTTTAGTTTCCTTGGTAGATTTTGCTTGCAAAAGTAATTTTCTATTTCCTCATTTTTTGTTCATTCATTAATTAAAATTATTCTGCAAGGAAAAGTTCTTCCTTTTTTCCCATTTATTTACCCATTAGATTATTTATTTACTTATTTTATTCTCTGGATTATAATCTAATACTATCATTATTTATTTTATTGCTCAAAGTGTTCCCACTTTGGCTATTGAGAGGTCCTTTGGCTTGGCTCCTGTGTCCTTTTCACATGCTCTCATCCATTATGAGCACTTTCTTGCTCTCTGGCATCACAAGATACTCCAGGTTCATCTTGTATTTTCCCTTCCCCAGCCCTGGAATTAACCTCTTCCTCAAGGAGCCTTGGTTCTTTGTGCTGGAGAATGGTATTTAGAAACCAAGATTTAGTTGCTAGCTGGGCTCATTGCTGTTGGGTTATCAGTGCTTTTAGGCCACTTCAGTACAGCTAGGATAAGTATGTATATTTACATATATACGTGAATATGTATACATACATGCTGCATACATACATCTCTATCCTATCTATCCATCTATCTTCATCATCATCATCATTTTCTGTCCAATCTTAAAATGATTTCAGAATTGCTAATGCATACCTCTATGAGAAGCAAATTTACTAATTAGATTACAGAGTTTGTGTACAGTTCCTTTCATCTTTAGCCTCACAATATCCAGTCAAAATACTGTTTTCCAGGCTGGGCATGGTGGCTCACGACTGTAATCCCAGCACTTTGGGAGGCCGAGGTAGGCAGATCACGAGGTCAGGAGATCGAGACCAGCCTGGCCAACATGGTGAAATCCTGTCTCTACTAAAAATACAAAAATTAGCCAGTCATGATGGTGTGTGCCTGTAATCCCAACTACTCAGGAGGCTGAGGCAGGAGAATTTCTTGAACCCGGGAGGTGGAGGCTGCAGTGAGATGATATCATGCCATTGCGCTCCATCCTGGGCGACACTGCGAGACTCCGTCTCAAACCAAACAAAAAAATGACATGAAAATTGAAAAGGGAAGGCCGGGCGCGGTGGCTCACGCCTAATCCTAGCACTCTGGGAGGCTGAGGCGGGTGGATCATGAGGTCAGGAGATCAAGACCATCCTGGCTAACATGGTGAAACCCGTCTCTACTAAAAATACAACAAGTTAGCTAGGCGTGGTGGCGGGCGCCTGTAGTCCCAGCTACTCGGGAGGCTGAGGCAGGAGAATGGCATGAAGCTGGGAGGCGGAGCTTGCAGTGAGCCAAGATCGCACCACTGCACTCCAGCCTGAGTGACAGAGCGAGACTCTGTCTCAAAAAAAAAAAGAAAAAAGAAAAAAAGAAAATTGAAAAGGGAAAAAATTCACTCCATACTATTATCCATTCTAAATCTAAATTCCAAATCTAAATCCAAAGAAATCTAAATGTAAAGAAATTATGATATATTCTTTTTCTGTCATCACTAATCTGTGGTCTATATTTACATAAAGCACTTTTACACTGTCACAAAATCTGCCTTTTCTTACTCTAGGGTTGATGCCAATATGGCAAGTGGCTGCTATATTTATATGCTCTTTTGTACTTTCTCTCTCCTTGCTTCCTCCTTCCTTCCCCTTTCCCTTTCTCTTCCCTTCCCCTTCCCCTTCCCCTTCCCTGCCCCTTCCCCTTCCCTTCCCCTTTCCCGTTCCCTTTCTCTTTCCCTTTCCCTTTTCCTTTCATTTTTTGAGACAAGGTCTCACTCTGTTGCCCAGGCTGGAGTGCAGTGGCGCCATCATGGCTCACTGCAACCTTGACCTCCCAGGCTCAAGCAGTCCTTCCATCTTGGCCTCACAAAGTGCCGGGATTACAGGCATGAGCCGTTATGCCCAGTCTAAGACCATATCATTTACAACTCACTTGGTAAAGGAGAAGATATGTATTGCAATAGTAACGTCTGTGGAAACCTATTTCTGTGGTTAGATTCTGGTGCAATTCAAGCTCATGCCAGCAACCTGAGTCACTTTATGTCTGATGGAAGTATCTTCCCAGAAGGTTACAACTGAGAATATGGTTTTATGATTAGGAGTATGTGTTATGGAAGAAGTTATGACATTTGTTATAAAATTGTAGATATATCTACAATTGTAGATTAAATTGTAGATATATCTACAATTGTAGATTAAATTGTAGATAAACAATTTATCTACAATTTAAATTAAAATTGTAGATATATCTTTATTGTGGAGCCCCTAACTACAGATTAAATTCCTGACCACCTTCTGCAGCCAGATGGAAGACTTCATTTTGGTGATGGGGGACACTGTCTCCGTACTCAATAGCTGTGGAGTTGTAGATAGGCTGTGCTTTCTTCATGAAATCTGGGAACTCTTGTTAGGGAGAGGCTATGAAATAGAAACCCACTTAGGTACTCCCTCCCCGCTCCCACCTAAGCAAAACAAGATAGAAAGAAACAAAAGTCTAAGGGCAGAGATATAAATAGCCCTTATAAATGACTGGAACCAGGAACTGGAACAGGGTTGGGACTACCTGTGTTTGTTCTTTTTAATTGCTGACTGGCTTTTCTGAAATAGGGAGTAGTGTTAAGGCCCTGGGTAATCAGTCACTTAAAATGACAGGATTCCTATCTATAGGCTGGAGCAGAAACTGCAAAGATTCAGCCTGTGACAGCACGGGCTTGTCTGGCACTTGGGAAAAGTGTGATGCAGGTGCAGTTGCCCCAGAGTGTCCCTTGGTCCTTGTCCATTGGCTTAGTAGGAACCTGGGATCTTAGCTATGTGTTAATAACTTGACTGACATCATACCACTGATACTGTTGGACTCGGTTCTGTTATTGGACCCTGGACCCTCCAGAGATCTTGAACCTCCTCTTCAATATCAAGGAAGCCTCCTGATTCTTCTTACCTTCCTTCCCACCCCAACCAGGAAAGGAAACCAAGGTGTATATGAGAAAATGTAACTATGATGGAAGTTTCCAGAGGCTTTTGAAAACTTTAATTATTGTGCAAACCTGCCAATTCTTGACCAAGGGAAAAAAAAGAACAGTATACTCACGCCTGTAATCCCAGCACTTTGGGAGGCCGAGGCGGGCGGATCACGAGGTCAGGAGATCGAGACCATCCCGGCTAAAACGGTGAAACCCCGTCTCTACTAAAAATACAAAAAATTGGTCGGGCGTGGTGGCGGGCGCCTGTAGTCCCAGCTACTTGGGAGGCTGAGGCAGGAGAATGGCGTGAACCCGGGAGGCGGAGCTTGCAGTGAGCCGAGATCCCGCCACTGCACTCCAGCCTGGGTGACAGAGCGAGACTCCGTCTCAAAAAAAAAAAAAAAAAAAAAAAAAAAAAAAAAAAAAAAGAACAGTATAATTAAAACAACGAGAGACCAAGGCTTAAAGGCTCCCTACGGAAGCTAGTAATTTGATACACCTTAAAACTTAAAAATATTTGTTCAACATTCTAGCCTTTTCTCTACAATATCATGGAGAAATTTAATCTTTATTTAAAGTTGAAAACAAGGCCGGGCGCGGTGGCTCACACCTGTAATCCCAGCACTTTGGGTGGCTGCGGGCGGGCGGATCACAAGGTCAGGAGATCGAGACCATCCTGGCTAACACGGTGAAACCCCGTCTCTACTAAAAATACAAAAAAATTAGCCGGGTGTGGTGGCAGGCGTCTGTAGTCCCAGCTACTCAGAAGGCTGAGGCAGGAGAACCGCGTGAACCCGGGAGGCGGAGCTTGCAGTGAGCCGAGATTGCGCCACTGTACTCTAGTCTGGGCGACAGAGTGAGACTCCATCTCAAAAAAAAAAAAAAAAAAAAAAAAAAAAAGTTGAAAACAATTTAGGATACGAATGATGGTAAATTATAGTAACTACTTAAAAACTTAAAAATTGCAAGATTTAGGCCAGGTGTTGTGGCTAACGCCTGTAATCCCAACATTTTGGGAGGCCTAGGTGGGAGGATTGCTTGAGTTCAGGAGTTTAAGACCAGCCTGGGCAACATAGGGACACCTCATATCTACAAATAATAATAATAATAAATTAGCCAGGCATAGTGGTGCACGCCTGTGATCCTAGCTACTCAGGAGGCTAAGGTAGGAGGATCACCTGAGCCCAGGAGGCAGAGGTTGCAGTGAGCTAAAATCATGCTACTGCACTCCAGTCTGGAAGACAGAGCAAGACCATATCTCAGAAAAAAAAAGTTTTCATTTTTCTTTAAAGTAGTACATATAAATGATTAAATATTTTCAAATAATAAAGAAGGATTTATAATGAAAAGCAGCAGTCTCCTCCCCTACTTTTCCATGGTCTCAATCCTGCTACATAGAGGGAACTACTTTTAATTCTTTTAATTGTTTCTGTTTCTTTTTTTAGTTTTTCTGGGATTTATCTTCATGTCTCTGAATAACATATTATACTCTTATGTCTTGGTTAATAATTTTAGATGTTAACTATGACTTTCTGCATGATAGAGGAAGATTAAGCTCATTTACAGAGTCACCCTTCTCCCCCCCAATAAAACTACAGCACTATTTTTAATTCCTACTTTAATTCCCTTATAGCTTCATTTTATTTTATTATTTATTTATTTTTGAGATGGAATCTCGCTTTGTCACCCAGGCTGGAGTGCAGTGGCGCAATCTCGGCTCACTGCAACCTCTACCTCCTGAGTTCAAGCAATTCTCCTGCCTCAGCCTCCTGAGTAGCTGGGACTACAGGCGTGCGCCACCACACCTGGCTAGTTTTTGTATTTTTAGTAGAGACGGGGTTTCACCATGTTAGCCAGGCTGGTCTCAGACTCCTGACCTCAAGTGATCTGCCCACCTCGGCCTCCCAAAGTGCTGGGATTGCAGACGTGAGTCACTGCACTCCACCCAATTCCCTTATAACTTTAAATACCTGACTGGACCTTTATCCTTGGCTTCTTCTACTTTAGACAGTATCCCTTGGCTTCCCATTTTAGGAGGTGAGCAGTGTCCTTACCTTCCCTTCCTTCTCTTACCCTCATTTCTACTGCCCAACTTCTGTCATCTGTGTTTTTGATATTTTATATTATATATTCAAAGCTTTTATATATTTTCAAAGTTGATAAAACTTTACATCTCATTCTGTAACCATAATTAAGTCATTTGTACTTTGCCTCATGGCTGAATTTAGTTTAAAAAGCAATAGTAACATTATTGTGACTATGTGACTATTGCTAAGGGCAGACCCAAGCTTCATTTCCCATCATCTATTTGATAAATACTTATGTAGCCTTTATTAATTGTGGGACACTCTTCTAATTACTCTGTTAACTAACTCAATCTTCAACAATAGCCCTGTGAGGAAGCATTAACCTTGGGCAAGTTGCTTCACAGCTCATAAAATAAGATTAATAATAAATAACAATAAAGTTAACTGATGAGGTCAGGACATTTTTTTTCTTCTGAAGTTTCAGATCCTTTTTCTTTGTTTCCTTACCTTACCTATCTTAATCATTTCCTCAATGCTAGTTGCAAATCTTTGGAATTGTTTTCCCTGCGTAGCTTCTCCCTGAAACCTCTACCCTCTTGCTCCAATTTGGATGGATTCTTCTCTAGACTTGCTGTGCTTCTGTCCATCTGAAACTTTTCTTTATTGTTTCCTGGGGTTATATAGATTTCTAGACATCCTCTTTCATTGGCTTATTCTCTCATTTGGCTGGGTGACATATGAATGTGACCTCCTAAGATGGGGTGGGAGTGAGAAGTACATTTTCTGAGTCCTTCTGTGTCTGAACATATTTCTATTTTTCCATTTCATTTTATGGTTTGATTACATTTAAAATTCTGTGTTTTGAAAATTTCCTATCTGTGGGGTGAACTAGAAGTGGGGACTCAATCAAGTCTAAAGAAGTCAAGAAAGAAGAGGGGAAAGACAGAGAAATAGAAAAAGAAATAAATAGAAAGCACAAAATAAGATGGCAGATTTTTCTCCCCAAACGTAACAGCAAGCACATTAAATACCTCAGTTAAAACACAAAAATTGCCATATCAGATTTTAAAAGTGAACAAATACATCTAGCTGTATGTTCTTATCAAGATTTGCCCCAGCATACTACATAGAACCTTAGTAGGTCAAAAGATGGATAATGGTCTACCAGGGAATGAACTGAAAGTAAGTTGCTGTGGCTATATTAATATCAGACAAATAATATTATATTGTAGTGAAAGTGAATGAACTTTAGCTTTCCGGATCAATATGGGTGAGCTCAAAAATGTAACAATGAGTGGAAAAAAGCAAGTCAGAGGAAAACATATGGTATTTGATGATGTTTATAGAAATTCCATATAATGAATACATGTTATATGATAACATATACTTTTAAATCAAAAGTATGTTGGTCAGCAATACCTGCATATGTGGTGAAACTGTAAGGAAAATCAAGGAAATTGTAGTGCAAAATTCAGATTGCCTCTGAAAGAGAGGATGGGATCAGGGCAGGGCGCTCCAGGGTGTCATCGGTACTGGTGTTACCAGTGGAGGGTGTCCAGGTTCTTGGATCCTAAACAAAGAATTGGACAAAATGCACACACAAGGCAAGGAAAGAATGAAGAAATTTATTGAAAATGAAAGTACACTCCATAGTGTGGGAGCGGTCCTGAGCATAGAGGCTCAAGGGCCCCATTACAGAATTTTTGGGAGTTTAAATACCATCTAGAGGATTCCATTGGTTGCTTGGTGTACGCTCTATGTAAATGAAGAGATTGAAGGAAAGTTACAAAGTCGTTTACTTGGTCTATGCCCTATGGAGAGGACATTTCCTGTCATAGTGAAGCAGCACCGTTGTCTGGGGTAAATACCTGGGATTCGTCATCTCGCCCGTAGAAGATTAACAACACAGACACACACACGGAATGTGCTAAGGAGTGGAAAGTTTAATAGGCAGAAGAAAGGATAGAGGAGAGCAGCCCCCTCTCTCTCGTGAGAGAGGTGTCCGAAAAGGGAAAAGTGGCGCACTGCAGCAGATTTTTTTTTTTTTTGAGACAGAGTCTCTCTCTGTCACCCAGGTTGGAGTGAAATGGCATGATCTCAGCTCACTGCAACCTCCTCCTCCCAGGTTCAAGCAATTCTCCTGCCTCAGCCTCCTGAGTAGCTAGGATTATAGGCACCCGCCTCCAGGCCTGGCTAATTTTTTGTATTTTTAGTACAGATGAGGTTTCACCATGTTGGCCAGGCTGGTCTTGAACTCCTGACCTCAGGTGATCCACCTGCCTCAGCCTCCCAAAATTACAAGTGTGAGCTACTGTGCCTGGCCATGATATTCTTAATATGACACAGCCAAGGTTTTTCCCCCTAGTCGCTTGTTCTAACTCTTGGAAAACAGATGACAAAATGTTCTTATATCAACCCTCTTGCCCCTGAGCCACTGATTGGGCTTAGTTTTGAAAGTTTTCATATGTTTTCACTGGCATTTCCCAGCACTAAAAACCCTGGTACCTAGAACTAGAGTGTTGTAAGCATAGTTTTTTTATTTTCTTCTTAGTCCTGGGGTCTAAGGACTATGACCTGTTGCAGTTTACCTTCACCTTGATTCAGAAGTTGATACAATCCCTGTATGGTGGAGGACCCCCCACTCCTCTTTCTCTGTTTGTTATTCAGTTCTGCCCACTTGTATTAGTCTGTTTTCATGCTGCTGATAAAGACATACCTAAGACTGGGCAATTTACAAAAGAAAGAGGTTTATTGGACTTACAGTTCCATGTGGCTGGGGAAGCCTCACAATCATGGCAGAAGGTGAAAGGCATGTCTCACATGGAGGCAGACAACAGAAGAGAACTTGTGCAGGGAAACTCCTGTTTTTAAAACCATCAGATCTTGTGAGACTCATTCACTATCATGAGGACTGTGCAGGAAAGACCCATCCCCATAATTCAATCACCTCCCACTGGGTTCCTCCCATGACATGTGGGGATTGTGGGAGTTATAATTCAACGTGAGATTTGGCTGGGGACGGAGCCAAACCATATCATGTTGCTCCTGGCCCTCCAAAATCTCATGTCCTCACATTTCAAAACCAATCGTGCCTTCCTAACAGTCCCCCCAAAGTCTTAACTCATTTCACCATTAACTCAAAAGCCCACAGTCCAACATCTCATCTGAAACAAAGCAAATCCCTTCTGCCTATGAGCTGGAAAGATTGTAAAATAAAAAGCAAATTAGTTACTTCCTAGATACGATGGGAGTACAGGCATTGGGTAAATACAGCCATTGCAAATGGGAGAAATTGGCCAAAACAAAGGGGCTACCGGGGCCATACAAGTCCGAAATCCAGCAGGGCAGGCAAACCTTAAAGCTCCAAAATGATCTCCTTTGACTTCATGTCTCATATCCAGGTCACACTGATGCAAGACGGGGGTTCCCATGGTCTTGGGCAGTTCAGCCCCTGTTACAGCCTCCCTCCTAGATGCTTTCGCCTCCCTCCCAGATGCTTTCACGGGCTGGTGTTGAGTGTTTGCAGCTTTTCCAAGTGGACAGTGTAAGCTGTCAGTGGATCTACCATTCTGGGCTCCGGAGGATGGTGGCCCTCTTCTCACAGCTTCACTAGGCAGTGTCCAAGTAGGGACTCTGTGTGGGAGCTCCAATCCCACATTTCCCTTCCACACTAGCAGAAGGGTTCTCCACAAGAGCCCTGCCCTTGCAGCAGACCTCTGCTTGGACATCCAGGCATTTCCATACATCTTCTGAAATCTAGGTGGAGGTTCCCAAACCTCAATTCTTGACATCTGTGTACTCACAGACTCAACACCACGTGGAAGCTGCCAAAGCTTGAGGCTTGCACCCTCTGAAGCCACGGCCTGAGCTCTGTGTTGGCCCCTTTTAGCCATGGCTGGAGCAGCTGGGCCTCAGGGCACCAAGTCCCTAGGCTGCACACAGCATGGGGACCCTGGGCCCAGCCCATGAAACTGCTTTTTCCTCCTAGGCCTCTGGGCCTGTGATGGGAGGGGCTGCCGTGAAAACCTCTGACATGACCTGGAGACATTTTCCCTGTTGTCTTGGGTATTAACATCCGACGCCTCATTACTTATGCAAATTTCTGCAGCTGGCTTGAATTTCTCCTCAGAAAAAGGGTTTTTCTTTTCTATTGCATTGTCAGGCTGCAAATTTTCCAAACTTTTATGCTCTGTTTCCCTTATAAAACTAAATGCCTTTAACAGCACCCAAGTCACCTCTTGAATGCTTTGCTGCTTAGAAATTTCTTCCGCTAGATACCCTAAATCATCTCTCTCAAGTTCAAAATTCCACAAATCTCTAGGGCAGGGGCAAAATGCCACCAGTCTCTTTGCTAAAACATAAGAAGAGTCACCTTTGCTCCAGTTCCCAACAAGTTCCTCATCTCCATCTGAGACCATCTCAGCCTGGACTTTATTGTTCATATCACTATTGGCATTTTTGTCAAAGCCATTCAACAAATCTCTAGGAAGTTCCAAAATTTCCCACATTTTCTTGTCTTCTTCTGAGCCCTCCAAACTGTTCCAACCTCTGCCTGTTACCCCATTCCAAAGTTGCTTCCACATTTTCAGGTATCTTTTCAGCAACACCTGACTCTACTGGTACCAATTTACTGTATTAGTTCATTTTCAAGCTGCTGATAAAGACATACCCGAGACTGGGCAATTTACAAAGAAAGAAGTTTAATGGAGAACTCACAGTTCCACGTTGCTCAGGAAGCTTCACAATTATGGTGGAAGGCAAGTCATATCTTATGTGGATGGCAGCAGGCAAAGGGAGGACTTGTGCAGAGAAACTCCCATTTTTAAAACCATCAGATCTTGGGGGACTCATTCACTATCACAAGAACAGTGCAGGAAAGACCTGTCCCCAAAATTCAATCACCTCCCACTGGGTTCCTCGCATGACACGTGGGAACTGTGAGAGTTAAACTCAAGATGAGATTTGGGTGGGGACACAGCCAAACCATATCACCACTTCTCCAGGCCCTTCACACTCTGGGTCCCCAGAATCTACAACCATCATGAAATGGTTTTAACAAGATGAGATCAGTAAACACAAAACTACCAACTAATGCCCAACCCAGCTCTCCTACCCAAGGACAGGATACTTTTCCTCTCTATGTAGATCCATATGCCTTGACTCATATGCTGCCAAACTTTCTCACCTTCCACAGCTGTGGTGCTGCCCGGTCATGCTGTATCCCATGGTTTTGAGTCCTTCCCTCACCAAGACCCTGTCTCTAGACCCAGGCCTCTGTTTCCTGATACAGACAGAAGTAAATGGATTGTCTGGATTTTCAGATCTGGATAAAGCTAGACCCTAAAAAGTAAATGTCAGGAGAAAACAACAGGAACAAAAAGAGTTATTTTTGGTAAGAGAGAAATGAAAAAATGAGGCAAATCAGAATTTCTGCTAAACAGTGGACAATTACTTCCCACAGGTGTCAGAGAACAGGACATATCTACAGAGGACACACATACATATAAATTTAGTCATTTCCCCTTAGTTTATAGTGATAAACATTTTGTATTCAAATGACAAATTAGTACTTTCATGGTGAATTTACTTTTTGTTAAGTGTTTCAGAGTTGTAATATCTAGTCTTTAAAGTTCTGATTGCTTCGTTTTTCCTCAAATGGATGTTTTTACTTCCTGCCATTCTTTTATTTATTTATTTTTTTGAGATGGAGTCTTGCTCTGTTGCCCAGGCTGGAGTGCAGTGGCATGATCTCGGCTCACTGCAAGCTCCGCCTCCCAGGTTCACGCCATTCTGTTGCCTCAGCCTCCCGAGTAGTTGGGACTACAGGCACCCACAACCACGCCCGGCTAATTTTTTCTGTTTTTATTAGAGATGGGGTTTCACTGTGTTAGCCAGGATGGTCTCGATCTCCTGACCTTGTGATCCGCCCACTTTGGCCTCCCGAAGTGCTGGGATTACAGGTGTGAGCCACCGCACCCATCCACTTTCTACCATTCTTAAACAAAAATTCCATATGTTCTCATCTATTAAAGTCCTGAAATTGAAACTAAGAAGAGTAATCAGGCAGAAAAACCCCAAATTCTCAGAAATAAAAATGAAGTGAGAGAGTGAGAGAGAGGAAGGGAAGGAGGAGAGGAAATGATATAGGAGGAGGAGAAAGCTTGAGTGCAACACATAACTCAGAGTTTGCTTGGGGACATGTTGAGTTTGAGACGCCCATGAGACACCCAAGTAGAGACATTTAGCTGAAATTTGAACACAGGAGCTCAGAATGGTCTGGGATGGAGATATACATTTCGAAATCATCAGCATCCAGCTGACAGTTAAAACTGTAAGAGGATGAGATTGCTCAGGAGCAGTGTGAGAGTGTGGAGAGCAGGGGCCATGGTCAGAGCCGAGGGTGGCCCCATAGGCAGGGGCTGGCAAAGGCAGAAGAGCCTGGAGAGGAATTCACGCCTCACCAATCCCCTTGCCAGTGTGTGAAGTCAAGCATATTGCTTGGCCTTTCTCAGCTGCAGATTCCTCACCACTAAAGTGGAGATAAGGGCTGGTGCAATGGCTCACACCTGTAATCTTAACACTTTTGGAGGCCAAGGTAGGAGGATCACTTGAGGCCAGGAGTTTCAGACCAGCCTGGGCAACGTGGCAAGATTCCCTCTGCACAAAAAAATACTTTTTATTTAATTAGCCAGGCATGGTGACATGCACCTGTAGTCCCAGCTACTTGGGAGGCTGAGGCAGAAGAATTGCTTGAGCCCAGGAGTTTGAGGCTGCAGTAAACTATGCACCCCAGCCTGGGTGACAGAGCAAGACCTTGTCTCTTAAAAAAAAAAAGTGGAAATACGGCCTTCCTACTATTTCCTAGATTTTGTTAAAAGAGATGATATACTGGTGTAGGAACAGGGTTTGTTAAATGCAAAGTGTAATCCACTAAGCATCAGTAATCTCTTGGGCCTAAAAGCTCACCTGAGTTTGGTCACAAACACTGTGAACAGGGAAAAGACCTGTACTCCATAATGCCAGTTCTTATAGCACAGCTTTACAAAGAGCTTCAATGAGCATTGAACTTCTCATTTGTCAAGAGGGAAAAGAAGACAATAATAGCAAAGCCACATATGTAATCTGAGATCTGCTTATCATTTGGAAGAAAAGCAAGCAAAAAACAGTATTTTCAGGAAGCAGCAAAGCCTGGCAGCATGGTGGACTTTGTCTGCAAAATAATTTGTCAGGTTATATCCTTTTGTTTGTTTCAAGAATTTTGACCCAGTGATAGTAGAGAAAGAAATTAAACTGTGAAACATGTCAGAGTGAGGGCTGAATATTTGCATCTGGAGGAGAATCGTGACTGCCTCTTCCCTTACAAAGCCACAGCCCACAGAGAGGGCCTGGCAGCAGAATGACAGGGTTTAGGGGCCGTGTTCATAGACAGTGGGTGACCATGTGATTTCAGCAGAAACACCAAGCAGTGAGGTGCCTGCCTTCAAAGCCACACGGCACATAGTATGAGCTTAAGAATGAGCAAGGACATTTACAAATAAGTCGTTCAATGGCATGTCCTTGTTTTCAGAAATAAGCCTCCCTACAGCACTGTTTAGTGGAGAAAAATAAAAGCCAGCACCCAGGAACCCCATACTTCCCTTAAAGCATTTCTTCCCTCTTCTGTCCTCTCCCAGGTTCAGGACCTCCAGAATTCCTCCTCCTTTTGTAATCACCCATCAGGTTCTTCTTGCCTACTGCACAGATAAAACCAATGCACTGAGACACCACTATTGCAGTAGAGAAAGAGTCTAATTAACACATGGCTAGCCAAGCAACCAATGAGAGTTTATTACTCAAATCAGCCTCCCCAAGAGCTTAGAGGCAAGGGTTTTAATGTATAATTTGTCAGGTAGGGAGCTAGGGAATGGGTGCTGCTGACTGGTTGAGGATGGAATCATAGGGATGTGGAAAACAGTCCTCATGTGTTAAGTCTGCCTTTGGGTGGAGGCCACAGTACTAGCTGAGTCATGAGTCATGGGTCCAGGTGGGGTCAGCCAGTGATGTTATCCGTAGGAGCAATTTGGGCAGCCACAAGTCTTGTGAACTCTGGCTTCATGACTTCCGAGCAGTAAGGGATTATAGAAAAACAAGGGCTGGTTATTCTTTAACCATGCCTACGTTTTAGCAAAATTCAAGTCCCTCCCATAATTCTAATCTTGTGGCTTTTCATTAGTCTTACAAAGGTGGTCTTAGTCCCTGAGAAAGGAGGGGGCTAGTTTTAGGGAGAGACTGTTATCCTTGCTTCAAAGTTAAACTATAAACTAAATTCCTCCTGTGGTTAGCTTGGTGTATGCCAGGGAATGAGTGAGGACAGTCACCTAGTGAGACTAGAAGCAAGATGCAGTCAGCCATGCTAGACTTCTCTCGCTGTCATAATCTTTGCAAAGGCAGTTTTAGTCTTTTCCTCCTCCTCATGGCATCTCATGAAAAACATCTCCCTGCTGTACTCCTTCCCCTGCTCACCAAGCTCCCACACCACCAGCAGGGGACAGACTTCTAGATTATTAAACAGTATATTTAATATTCTAATCTGATGTAATTGCCTTTGGACAACTTCATAAAGTCCAGAAAGTTCCCAAAGATAGGAAGTGGGGGACAGAGACTGATCTTACATTTGTATGACCAAAAATGTCTCATTGTTCATCTTTTTGTTTTTATTGATTGAAACGGAACAGAGCAGATGTGTTAATCTGAGATGCTGAGGCTGATGGATCTCCAGTTTTAAATTTGAAGAACAGAAACCAATACCCTTTCCCCTAAATGATTATTCTTTTATGCTCCTTTATCCTCTGTTTTACCCCCAATCTGCTGTCTTTCAGGAGACAGTGTTTATCAGGTCTTTTCAGTCTGGCCTGTAGACTCAGGAATGGCTGCTGGAGGAGAGAGCTTATGGTTTTGTTTGTTCAGGCTGAGACACAACTGTTAATAATTGTCATCTAAAACCAAGTTAGAGGCCAGGCACGGTGGCTCACGCCTGTAATCCCAGCACTTTGGGAGGCCAACGGGAGCAGATCACTTGAGGTCAGGAATTGGAAACCAGCCTGGACAGCATGGCAAAACCCCATCTCTACTAAAAATACAAAAATGAGACTGGGCACAGTGGCTCACGCCTGTTGGGGGGCCTAGGCAGGTGGATCACGAGGTCAAGAGATGGAGACCATCTGGGCCAACATGGTGAAACCCTGTCTACTAAAAATACAAAAAATTAGCTGGGTGTGGGGGCGGGCACTTATAGTCCCAGCTACTGGGGAGGATGAGGCAGGAGAATCACTTGAACCTGGCAGGCGGAGGTTGCAGTGAGCCGAGATTGCACCACCGCACTCCAGCCTGGCGACAGAGCAAGGCTCAATTAAAAAAAAAAAAAAAAAAGATACAAAAATGAACCGGGTATGGTGACGCGTGCCTGTAATCCCAGCTACTCGGAAGACTGAGACAGAAGAATCACTTGAACCTGGGAGAGGATGTTGCAGTGAGCCGAGATTGCACCACTGCCCTCCAGCCTGGGCAACAGCGTGAGACTCCATCTCAAAAAATAAAATAAGGCCGGGCGCTGTGGCTCACGCCTGTAATCCCAGCACTTTGGGAGGCCGAGGCAGGCGGATCACGAGGTCAGGAGATCGAGACCATCCTGGCTAACACGGTGAAACCCTATCTGTACTAAAAAACACAAAAAATTAGCCGGGCGTGGTGGCGGGCGCCTGTAGTCCCAGCTACTCAGGAGGCTGAGGCAGGAGAATGGCATGAACCCGGGATGTGGAGCTTGCAGTGAGTTGAGACCGTGCCGCTGCACTCCAGCCTGGGGGACAGAGCGAGACTCCATCTCAAAAAATAAATAAATAAAATAAAATAAAATAAAATAAAACCAAGTTAGTTATCTGCTCCCGTGAACTCTAAACTTTCATTCAGATTGAAGATATGCTTTTAAAACATCAGGTGATTAGTTCAAAACAAGACAGCTTTTTTGAAAAACTGAAAACAAAATTCTTTTTTCCCAGAAAAGAAGAATCTTCTACAGGAATTCCCAATTTTCACTCAGAGAAAAAGATATAAATTTCTAGCAGTAAACAGATAGGCATTTTCTTTTCTTTTTTTTGAGATGAGTCTCACTCTGTCACCAGGCTGGAGTACAGTGGCACCATCTCAGCTCACTGCAAGCTCCGCCTCCCGGGTTCACGCTATTCTCCTGCCTCAGCCTCCTGAGTAGCTGGGACTACAGGCGCCCGCCACCACACCCCGCTAATTTTTTGTATTTTTATTAGAGACGGGGTTTCACCGTGTTAGCCAGGATGGTCTCGATCTCCTGACCTCGTGATCTGCCCGCCTCGGCCTTCCAAAAGTGCTGGGATTACAGGTGTGAGCCGCTGTGCCCAGCCAACAGGTAGCCATTTTCTTAAAATGTCTCCAGCCTTCAAGAGTACATGAGTCCAAACTCTGAGACGCGCAATCAAGAAAAGCTTTATGCAAATGAGTTAGATTAGGGGATAGGAAGAAATTCAGGATTACTTCTTGTTTTCTAGCTTCAGCAGCCAGGTGGAGGGTGGAGCCAGAAAACAAAATGGGGAAGATCAGATCTGGGTGGAAGAATAGGTGTTGAGAAAATCTAAAGCTGTTTTTCAACTTGTTAAGTGTGAGGTGCCTAAAACCTCCAGGAGAAAATGTAGAGAAAACAGATGCCAAGAGTTCATCAGTTGGCCGGGTGCAGTGGCTCATGCCTATAATCACACTTTGGGAGGTTGAGGCGGGAGATTCACTTGAGCCCAGGAGTTGAAGACTAGCCTGAGCAACATGGTAACACTCCATCTTTACAAAAAATACAAAAGTTAGCCAGGCATGGTGTTGCATGTCTCTGGTCCCAGATACTTGGGAGGCTGAGGTGGGAGGATCACTTGAGCCCAGGATTCAGAGGTTGCAATGAGCCAAGGTCATGCTACTGTACTCCAGCCTGGGCAACAGAGCAAGACCCTGTCTCAAAAAAAGAAAAAAGAGTTTTTCAGTCAAAGGAGAGATTGGGAGTGAAAATACAGATTTAGGGTTCATTGGCACAAAAATGGTGCTTGAATTCATGGTAATGAATGAGATCAACAAGGAAGTGTAGAGGAAGACAAGAAAAGAGTTTTAGAAAAAATCAACCCGTAGTGATATAGTGTGACCTCACCCTCATACTATTCTCTAAATTAAGAGGCAAAGCTGTAAAGTCACCAACTCCTTGTCAAGGCAATCCCCCAGGAGTTGGGACATGGAAGTATTTTCTTCCTGTTACATATAGAAATGACAGGAACACTAGTTCAACATTCAAGAACAATTTTATCCCATGACTGTTCACAAATAACACCTTAGCATATCATGAATGAGGCTACACGTTCATGTAAACCAAGCTTAGTTAGTACTCCCATCAAGATCACTATTATAAGAATTGCCATTCTTGGCCTTTTCTAAATCCTGTGGGCAAATGTATTCCTTGTGTTCTACCAGCTTCAAATTCTGAGCCCCACTAAGGACTAGAAGAACTCATTTATTCATTTGTTCATTGACAAATGTTTATTAAGTGTCTACTATATGCCTTGGGGAACCAGCAGTGAACTAGCCAACACACTACGTTGGAGGTGAAATTGGTTTCTGTTTTAAAATAAGGAAAAAGTGTTACCTCAAGCAACATATATATATGCTGGGACTACAGGCACCTGCCACCACGCCTGGCTACTTTTTTTATATTTTTAGTAGAGACTTGGTTTCACCATGTTCGCCAGGATGGTCTCAATCTCCTGACTTTGTGATCCGCCCACCTTGGCCTGCCAAAGTGCTGGGATTACAGGTGTGAGCCACTGCGCCCGGCCTCCTATGCCTACATTTTAACAGAATTCAGGCCCCTCCCTCAATCCTAATTTCGTAGCCTTTCACTAATTTCACAGAGGACACCCAGCTTGTGTCCACTGCATAACTGATTGTTTGCTTGGTGGTGGGAAGAAACCCACCCTCTGACATTTGGTCACAGAAGTCTTCTGGGTTGATGATTGTCGGGTTGAATGAGAGAATAGTAAAAATGGTTTGAGAGTTTTCTCTAACACCACAACTCCGTTAAAGAATTTTTTTTGTTTTTTGTTTTTTTTTTTTGTTTTTTTGTTTTTTTGTTTTGAGACAGAGCCTTGCTCTGTCTCCCAGGCTGGAATGTAGTGGCGTGATTTCAGCTCACTGTAGCCTCTGCCTCCTGGGTTCAAGCAATTCTCCTGCCTCAGCCTCCCGAGTAGCTGGGATTACGGGTGCCCACCACCACACCTGGCTAATTTTTCTATTTTTAGTAGAGATGGGGTTTCACCATATTGGCCAGGATGGTCTTGAACTCCTGACCTCAAGTGATCTGCTCACCTTGGACTCCCAAAGCGCTGGGATTACTGGTGTGAGGCACCGCACCCAGCCTGCTAAAGAAATTTAATATTGCCAGTGATACAGGAGTTAAGAAGAAATTACTTAGGCAGATAGTGAGGGTATGGGAGTCCTCGATAAGGTTTTCCTTATCGAGGCAGCCTATAAAATCAAGCTACAGACATAGACAAGCAAGCTGGAAGCTTGCACAGGCAAATGCCAGCAGTTGTGCCAAAAGTAATATACTACCTGGGACTAGTCACGTTCAAAATGGTGGCTCCATCTTTTATTTTTGCCAGCCATGGGTACAGTAAGGAGCAGGCAAGATGGTACTGGCCAAGTGGAAGGCCCATTTGCATAATAAGATTAGGGTGGGGTGACCAGCCTTCCCATACACCATGTAAACATCACAGCTGGTCAAACAAATCTGTGGGCCCTAGTAAATCAGACACTGCCTCCTCAAGCCTGCCTATAAAATCTGCTGCGCTGCTGGGTGGGGTGGCTCACATCTGTAATCCCAGCACTTTGGGAGGCTGAGGCAGGCGGATCACTTGAGGTCAGGAGTTTGAGACCAGACTGACCAACATGGTGAAACCCCATCTCTACTAAAAATACAAAAATTAGCTGGGCGTGGTGGTGGGCACCTGTAATCCCAGCTACTCAGGAGGCTGAGGCGGAGAATTGCTTGAACCTGGGAGGCGGAGGCTATAAGTGAGCTGAGATCACACTACTGCATTCCAGCCTGGGAGACTCCGTCTCAGAAAAAATAATAATAATAATAAAAATAATTTCTTAATTTTTTGAATATTTAGGGGAACAAAATACAACACATAATTTTATGTCCCCTGTTGATACTTGGATATTTCCCTATAGATGTGTAGGAAATTTTTCTTTCTTTCATCCATTCTGGTCTCATTAGGCTTTTAAAACCAACTATAGTCATAAATTACCTAATTCAAATGCTATTTATCTCTTTAAATTCCAAAATTATTGCTTAGGCTTTAACACACAAAAAAATCACAGAAAATAATGGAGAAATAGTTTCAGTTCAGTTTTTCAGCTTTATAATAATAGGTTTTGATGTGGCGGTCAATACATGAACTATGGAAAAAGGAAAGAAAATGAAGAAAAATGTGATTTAGCCAGTGGCTTAGCTTTGCATATGATACAGGAGGAACTAAACTAGTTTAGTAAACAGGTTGAATTTAAAAAAACAAACACACACATACACACTTAGTCCTGATCCTGTGTGGAAAATCAAAGAGTAGAGGAGTTGAATACCAGGAGTGAGTCAGGCAGCACCTGCGCTGCATGGGAATCTGTGCAGCATGGACTATTTCTGCCACCACTGAAGCAGATGTTACACAAGAGCCAGAGAAGAAAGACATAAAAAAAATATAAGATTTTTGTTTGTTTGAGACAGGGTCTCACTTTGTCACCCAGGCTGGAATGCAGTGGTTCTATCAGAGCTCACCGCAGCCTTGACATCCTGGGCTCCAGTGACCTTCCCACCTCAGCCTCCTGAGTAGCTAGGACCACAGGCGTGCGCTACTACACTTGCTAATTAAAAAAAATTTTTTTGTTGTTGAAACAGGGTAATATGGTTTGGCTCTGTGTCCCCACCCAAATCTCACCTTGAATTGTAATAAGCCCCACGCGTCAAGGGTGGGACCAGGTGGAGATAATTGAATTATGGGGGCGGTTTTCCCCATACTGTTTTCATGATAGTGAGTGAATTCTCACAAGATCTGATGGTTTTATAAGGGGCTTCCCCCTTTGCTTGGCTCTCATTCTCTCTACTGCCACCCAGTGAAGACGTGCCTTCCACCAGGGCTGTAAGTTTCCTGAGGCCTCCCCAGCCATGTGGAACTGTGAGTCAATTAAATCTCTTTTCTTTATAAATTACCCAGTCTTGAGTATTTCTTCATAATAGCATGAGAGCGGACTCATACACAGAGTCTCACTATGTTGCCCAGGCTGGTTTCAAACTCTTGGATTCAAGCAATCCTCCTGACTTGTGCTGGGATTATAGGTGTGAGCCACTGTACCCAACCAAAGACAAGATTTGAGGGGGAATTGCATCAGAATTTAGGATTACAGTGACATTACTTGGAAGTCATTTGAAGGGTGTTCTTCACTGGAAGATGTTGAAACATCTTCCCTAAGAGAAGACCTAAAAATTCCAGAGCAAAAACCAGCTGCTGTAGTGGAAATGACCTATGAAAACCTTAACATTCTGGAGAGGATGGAGAAAATTAGAGAGATGAACAGGGAACTAGAATTGCTGGAAATTCTAAGTTACTTGTAATAATGAGAAATGCTCTGCTCCCAAGACTGAATAGAGGCTGTGTCCCTGTAGAGAGTACCAGTTGCCAGAATGCAGGAACTAGGGCAGAAATAGAAAAGAAAAAATAAAGTGGAAAGAAGAGGGCAGGAAACACATAGTACTTTAGTTCAGAATGTCGATTCCTTGTCTCATTAATTCAGGAGCTCTACCTGCAGCCGCTAAGTATGGTCCATATCTATATTATTGGACTAGAGCTCATTCAATTACCACCTACAGGGAAACGTACTTGTCTCATAGTAGGAGGACCACCTGCTTCAGAAATACTTGTAGTCCTTATTAAAATTCAGAAGCCTGGATCCTACCACAGATTTGAGTCAGAAAAGCTGGAGGAATCACTATTATTACAAATTCCAACCACACTTAAGGCTCTGAAAACCTTGTTAAAGTCACCAGAAAGACTTAGCTGGTATGACAGAATTTATGCTATCATAATTGGTAATCTGAGTTGCGCCTCTGGCCATCACTTCAGCAACTGTCTTAGAGATGCTTTATTAGGAACAGGTGGTTTGCCACTCTGATCCCAAGAGATGCATAGAGCCTTATGGCATCTGTGGCAGATAGATGTGCCAAAGATGGCTGACAGATGCAGAGAGCCTTATGGCATCTATGGCCAAAGATGGATAACTGGGTGAACTGCACACTTAATTTGTAGAGACTAAAATAGCTTCCCATCACTTTGGAGAATGAATTATTATTCTAGATACCGTGGTGTTGACAGGAACATAGGAACATATAACTAGATATGATACACAGTCACATTTTGTATAAATCTCAGTTGGTTACTATTGGTAACAGTGGACCTGATATCCAGGCTTAGGGAAATAAGTGTCCTGTTGTACATATACATCTAGTTGCCCTTAAGTCATGGTGTATTTAAGATGGTCATGGTTGATATGTGGCACATTTACTGTCACTTCACACAGCCACCTGTGGCAGACATCCTAACAAATCACAGAATTCTTTCCTACCCAATCAGGAGGTCATTCTCTCAATCCAGGCTCCAGGAAGCTGATTACCAATTGATTGGTTTAGAAGGGCAATTGAAAACCATTAGCCTTCCATTTACTAACGGATATCTCCTGTGTCTGTGAAAGGGTACCAAGGATAAAAGATGCCTTGAGGGCCGTGTGCGGTGTCTTATGCCTGTAATCCCAGCACTTGGGGAGTCCGAGGCAGGCGGATCACTTGAGATCAGTAATTTGAGACCAGCCTGGCCAACATGGTGAAACCTCATCTTTTTTTGAGACAGGGTCTTGCTCTGTTGCCCAGGCTGGAGTACAGTAGCATGATCTTGGCTCATTGCAACCTCTGAATCCTGGGCTCAAGTGAAAATTATCTGGGCATGATGGTGGGCCCCTGTAATCCCAGTTACTCGGGAGGCTGAGGCAGGAGAATCACTTGAACTCTGGAGGCAGAGGTTCCAGTGCGCCGAGATCGCGCCACTGCACTCCAGCCTGGGCAACAGAGTGAAACTCTGTCTCACCAAAAAAAAAAAAATGTCTTTGAGAATTTGTTGTTATACTCAGAGGTCAGCAAAGAATTCCCACCAATTTACTAAGCACCTTTTATAAAGCATGTATTGCTTTTTTTTTTTTGGTATCTCACTTTAGTTGACAAAGGATGCAATAAGGGAAACATGTACACCACAGGCAATCAGTGCATATAGATCCCTGTTAAAAACTCAACATGTAACCTATATATATAGTCATACATTCTTTGCTAATGCGTAGCTTTCTGAACCACTTTAAAATATACATTTTATGTCACTTGTTGATCATGAGAAGTTTGTGACATTACCCTCATTTTTCTGGTAAGCCAGAGAAATTAAATGACTTGCTAAAATCACCCAACAAATTGGTGGTAGACCCTGGTCTTTCCCTTCTCAAGTCAGTGCTCTATTCATAATATTAGAGCATTTCAAATGATGTGCAGATTATAGCTGCAGCCCCATCCTCTCTTATCATTTCTGGAATGGTTCCCTTTAAAGTTTAATGCACCAATTTTTCTGTTTGTGAGTAGTGCCAGACCAGGCCCCACCTTGTATCCCTCTAGCCATTTTCACTGACATGTCTCACGTTTGTTCTACAGGGAAGGAAGTACAGAGTGAAGGAGGGATATACAAATTATGAGGAGATGTGAAAATAAGAGACTGAATAGTGCTAGAAAAAGCCATGGAATGGGCTATTTTGCAAAGTTTTGAAGACCCTCTCCCCGGAAGGGTCCAGTTGGGTCCCTGAAGACCCTCTGGCAGATGCCCCAGGAAGGACTTCTGCTCTGCACAAGAGGTGCTGGGTAATCCTGGGAGGTCTAGTCTGCCAACCAGGTGCTATGACTGCGTATTCTTGACTTACTGAAAAAACTTTGAACTCCAGCATTTGGTAGCAGTTATTTTTTTTAAAAGTTAATTTAATGATACTCCTAATTTGCAATGTGGGTAGAGAGGGAAGAGGGAAAGAGAGGGATCTACAGCAGATCAAGTTTGTAAGGGGTTCGGCACGCCTAAGTGGTGAAATGGTAAGTGATTATTTTTCATAAAAGTTTTTTTTTAATTGCTGAAGTGTTTCTATTTCTCATCTGACAGAGCAAGAATGTGGAACAAAGGGTGGACACATAAATAGTAATGTTAAAAATCTTCTAATGTTGTGACCCTCATGAGATGGAGGAATGGATATTCAGATAGAAGACCATGTAGCCTTAATAATTCCCTCAACAATAATCCAAAATCCTATAACTCATACTCATTTTTTTCAGTCTTTAACTCATTATTTAATTTTTATTTTTTAAACCTTCACTTAAGCAGCATTTGTCAAATACACATGATATGCCTCAAGGAAGAACTAAATAGTCTCATTCAATATGGATCTAATCACTTTTCTGTTCTAGTATGTCTGTCTGTTTTTTACCTAAGGTAGTTTTTAGGGGGAAAAAAATCTCACTATTATTTGCGTGAAACCTAGGGAAATCTGCAGAAAACATGCTCTAATTCTAAGTCTGTTTCATAATATATACATATGTAGAGAGAATATAGAGAAAAACCATTCTTCTTTCAAAGAGGAGGACATGAACTACAGGCTAATACCAAGCTGAAGTTAAGAAGGGACATAAACATCATGACTGCATTAGCTTCTCAGGAAATGGGTGCCTGAAATAAGAACACCGCATTCACCATTCTGGCTGGGTAAAGGAGACTGGTGCTCCTTTTCATTTGGAGGCTGTTAAAAAAGAAGTCTTGTAATGAGCTCTATTTGCAAGATCACTCATGGAATGAATGAGTGAATGAATTGTGGTACATGGCCGAAGACACAACTACTCTGGAAGGCAAGATAAAGAAATGGGAAAAAACAGACCTTTGGAGACAGACAGAATAAACTTGAGTCCAAATTCCAGCATTTATATGTTTGGTGACCTTAAATGTTTCTGATTCCTGGTTTCCATATCTATAAAGTAGAGATAATACCTATAGCACAAAGAGTTCGTGAGTAGTAAATGAGCAAACACGTCAGCACGATATTCTAGGATGTAGTAGGAGTGCAATCAATAGCTATTTCCTTTCTTTCCTCTTCTCCCCTGCAGTGGCCGTGTGCTGGGCCAAAGAGATGCTCTCTTGGCTGTCTATGCAGGGAGAGGCAGATCAAAGGGGCTGCATGATAACAGCCCCATAAAAGTTTGCATAGATGTAAAAGGGAAACAAAGCAGAGAGCCTGAATTACACACCTTAGTCCTGGAAATTACTAGCCATTGTAGAGGGCTGTTTGAAGGAGGAAGAAGAGAAACACACTCTCTATCAATGCATTTATTTAATCAATGCCAAGAACATCCAGTCACGGAATCCTTAACCTAGAAGTAACCTTAAATGTAATCTCACAGAACTTCCTCATGACGGATATGGAAACTGATGTTACCAAATGTCAAATGACTTCGGAAGGGTCAGAAAGTTAGCTATTTGCTGGGCTGTTCCCAGAACCTCTTCTCCAGAATCTAGTTAAGCCCCGCTTCTTCTATAGCATTTTGGGGTCATGGAGCACTTTGAGAATCTCAGCCTCACACCCCATGTATGTAACTACATATACATGAGACTGCATTCAGTTTCAGGAGGTTCGTGGTCCGGCCACAAAGTTAACAACCGCTGTGTGTTATGTTGCCTTGAGCAAGGAATTTTGTTAATGAGAAAAGTAGGAAGTCTGGCAGCTAAGCAAGCACACAGGAGAAATGAAACCAGGGCCCTGCACACATCCCCAACCTGGGAAAACAGGTGAGTCACTTCCTGAGATAAGAACAAAAATAATAGAAGTTATTTATTGAGCACTTATTACTTGCCAGGCCCTGTGCTAAACACTTTCCATATGTTATCTCCCGTAAGTCTCTACTGCAACACGAAGGAGTAGCTGTCATTACTCCCACTTTATCAGTGAGGGAGCCAAGGCTTAACTTGCTCTGTGGGGTAGGAAAAAGGTCCATCGTGTTACTTCTTTGTTTAAAACATTTCAATGGCTTTCCAGCTTACTTGGAATAAAAGCTAAAAAGTTCTTATAATAAATTCTCTGATATCATGTTCTTCTATTACCGCCCCCCCCAACCTCCCCACTCCTGCCCCACCTCTGGCCGCTTGCCATTTCTAGAACACTCCAGATGAGCTCTACTTCGAGACCTTGGCTCTAGCTCTTTGCTCTGCCTGGACTTTCGTCAGATGGGTCAGCCACATGTCCTTTTATTTTATTTTTAAAATTTTTCAATAAAATAGAACACATAAAATAAGGCCTTTAACTCCTGGGCTTCCACCTCAGCCCCCAGAGTATCTGGAACCATAGGCGTGCACCACCACATCCAGCTTTTGCTTATCCTTTTAGATCGTTATTTTCTCACTGAGGTCTTCTCTAATAACCCTATTTAAAATTAGAACCCTTCAACACTTTATTCCTATTCCCTGCTTTATTTCTCTCTAGCACTTATCATCATCCTACTTGATGTACTTTTATTTAGTAATACTGTGGTTGTCTTCTCCTATGAGAGGCTAATCCCTACCATTGACAACTGTTACGGTAATAATTGGTTTATGCAGGAATCTTTAATGGACGTTACAAGTAGTGGGTGAAGGTGTGAGAATATTTACAACTCACTACAAGATCCTTATTTGTTATGATAGAGAAAATAGCAACTTTACAGTGGAGAATCCTGGAAGACACTATCTTAACCAAGTCATCAAAGTTAATCCATATTAATTCACCCATCATGGGTAAATTGATGTCCTGTCCCTCCTAATATCATGCACTGCAAACATGGTGTCACTTTTGTGGGGTTTCTGCCACAATTGCATAATCTAATTACCCAAAAATGTTTGGCAAACCAAATTGAGTAATATTCTACAAAATAACTGACCTGCAATCTTAAAAAAATGTCAAGGTCATGAAAGACAGGGAAAAGACTGAGAAACTTCCACTTTGTAGGAGACTAAAGAGGCTTGACAACTGAATGCAATGTGTGACCCCAAACTGAGTTTCTGTTCTTACAAATAATGTTACTGAGATAATTGATACAGTTTAAATAAGGTCCATTGAATAGCTAATAGTATTGTAAAATGTTAAATTCCTGATTTTGATATTTGTGTTGTAGTTATATAGGAGGATGTCCTTGTTCATAGGCAGTATGCACTGAAGTATTTAAGAGAAAAGGGCATCCAGTTTGTAATTTATTCTAAAATGACTCAGAAAAAACAAAATAGATAGACATATATAGAGGAGAGAGAGAAAATTAAGCAGATGTGGCAAAATGTTATTTTTTGGGGAATCTAAATGAAGGGTGTTCAGGAATGCTTTGTGCTATTTCTGCAAATTTTCTTTAAGTCTGAAATTATTTAAAGTACTTATTTAAAGTAAAAGCTTACTAAAAGAAAATCCCAGCTGGGCGCAGTGGCTCATGCCTGTAATCCCAGCACTTTGGGAGGCTGAGGCGAGTGGATCACCTGAGGTTGGGAGTTCAAGACCAGCCCGGCCAACATGGTGAAACTCCATCTTTACTAAAAATACAAAAAATTAGCCGAGAGTGGTTGAAGGCACCTGTAATCCCAGCAACTCAGGAGGCTGAGGCAGGAGAATCGCTTGAACCAAGGAGGCGGAGGTTGCAGTGAGCCAAGATCACGCCATTGCACTCCAGCCTGGGCAACAAGAGCAAAAAAAAAAAAAAAAAAAAAAAAAAAAAAAAAAAAATTCCTGTTGGATGAATGAATACTGGCTTTTGACCTAACAAGGTTCTAGCGTGCAGGTTGAGGACAATTTACAAGTCATGATACTAGATCCAACTTAATTGCAGAAGCTCCTGCCTTGCCAATTTGAACATGCCCAAGTTATTTTTCTTTTCTGCCCTTAATTACATTTAGGTCATGCTTGCATATGACGTTTGTGGCGTCAAGATGTCTGGGAAACTCCCTGAAAACTATGAAAGGGTGTTTAGGGTCAGAAAATGCCAAGTGGAGAAATCGTTAGGGCTGAAAGTGAGAACAACAATAGGAAGCAAACTCTAGATGGTAATTCAGGAAAAGATTAGCATCCCATTATTATTATTATTACTATGTTTAGAGACGGGATCTCGCTCTGTCACTCAGGTTGGAGTGCAGTGGTGTGATCATAGCTCAGTGAAGCCTCGAACTCCTGGGCTTAAGCGATCCTCCCGCTTCAGCTTCCCAAAGCGCTGAGATTACAGGCAGGCACCACTGCACCCGGGCTAGAGTCCTATTATTTTTATGAGATGGGAGCAAGAGAAGTTAAGAGATATTGGCATCAAAAGCTTAAAAAGCTTGCTGCAATTTTACTTGAAAGGATCTTCTGTAAGAAAAAAGGCCTAAGGAAATAGCAACAAACAAGAAATTGTTCTTAAATATGCTCTGCGTACCAGTCTATTTTGAAAAGCCCTGGGATGGAGTTTTGATTTGCTGTACTCAAGAAAGCTATTTTTTTTTAAATTGTTTTAAGCAGCAGGTGCTTTCCAATGAACTTGGAACTTCCCTCAATCACAAAAACAGGGGCCTATTACTTAAAGGTTAAGCTGCACTGAGTTTTCAGCTCATGGTATTAGACTCTGAAATAAAAAAGATTTTCTCCACAAAAGTATGTTTGGAAGTATAAAAGAAGTAAAAGTCAGTAAAGTTAAAAAAAATGCAATACTTCCTGAAATTGAGCAATCACAAAAGTCACAAGAATGTCATCGAAAGCAGGAAAACTGAATCAGCACTATAGACAACGAAAGAGATACCTGGAAGACAAATGGGAGAAACATTTCAAAAGCATGGCAATACTGAAGAGGTGAAACGTTTAAAAAGAGGTGATTGAGCCAGACAAGGACTGCAAACTCAAAGCGAGGCAGGAAAAATAAGTGAGTGAAATAGTTGGAAAAAACACAAAATAGACAATAGCGAATGGTGGACATGAATATGTCAACTGCAGAGTGAATATTCCTTTCTGTGGGTTTGCTAACACTCAACGGCAGCTGACCTCTGCCATGTGAGAATGAGGACCTCTCTTTCCATATTTTCCAAATTTTCAACAGAAGCTTAAAATCTAGATTGGAAAACTAAATTTTTATGGGAAATCTGAGTTTTACATGTTTTCTACTATTTTAAAATTAAAGCAAGAGGCGGGGTGCAGTGGCTCATGACTGTAATCCCAGCACTTTGGGAGACTAAGGCAGGAGGATTGTTTAAGCCCGAGTTTGAGAGCAGCCTGGGCAACATAGTGAGACCCTGTCTCTACACATAACAAAAAAATTAGCCAGGTGTGGTGGCACACACCTGTGGTCCCAGCTACTTGGGGGACTGAGGCAGGGTGATCTTGAGCCCTGGAAGTTGAGGATGCAGTGAGATATGATTGGACCACTGCACTCCAGCCTGGGTGACAGAGTGAGACCCTGTCTCAAAAAAAAAATAAAATCAACTAATTTAACTAAAGCAATAAATACAAGAGGGCTCATTATGTATAGGACCAACAAAATGCATCTAAGGGCTGAATTCACCCACTCATGGGTTACCAGCTTTTGGCTTTTGAGTTAAAGAATATAGCATGGAACTCAATGAGAAGAAAAAAACAATTTTTATTATGTCAGTAACCTGCCTCACTGTAGTCAAGGAGAAAATGCTAACTACATGCACTTACATATCTTCATGTCACTGAAGCACATCCAGGGGCCAGTTTGCCATTTACCAATGGCCGTGCTCTGTCTCTGTGTGTGTGTGTGTGTGTTTGTTTTTGTTTTTGTTTGAGACAGAGTTTCATTCTTGTTGCCCAGGCTGGAGTGCAATGGCACAGTCTTGGCTCACTGCAACCTCTGCCTCCCGGGTTGAACAATTCTCCTGCCTCAGCCTCCCAAGTAGCTGGGATTACAGGTGCCCACCACCACGCCCAGCTGATTTTTTTGTATTTTTAGTAGAGACAGGGTTTCACCATGTTGGCCAGGCTGGTCTTCAACTACTGACCTCAGGGGATCCACCCACCTCTGCCTCCCAAAGTGCTGGGATTACAGGTGTGAGCCACCACACCTTGAAGAGACTTCAAGGCCTCACAGAGAAACTCAGCTTTGCAAAATCAACAGGAAGTTCCTTAGATTGGTGCTTATACTTTTCATCCAGGCACCAAGCCTCAGAGCTCCTACCCAGTCAGTAACCTCAAGAAAAAATGCACTTGGTTTCACCATGACTAATGTTAACATTTTCTACTTTGTTATTTCAAATATAACCATAGCCCTGTGCCGTTGTTTGGCTAGTAGTCCTGCTCCTGATCACTTCTTATCCTCCCTGACCAGTGGCAATAATGCCCCATTTTCCCTCTGCTTTGCTGCCTTCAATATTTCTCCACCATGTTGCCATGGAAGGCCCCAATCAAAGATACTATCATGGTGCTTCCCAAACCAGGCTATGCACTAGGTTCAACCAGAGTGCTTGGTTAAAAATACAGATACATGTTTCTGATTCAGTAGTCCGAGGTGGATCCTGGGTGTGTAAAGGCTTTTTTTTCTTATTTAAGAGATGGGGCTCTTGCTATGTTGTTCAGGCTGGATTTGAACTCCTGGGCTCAAGAGATCCTCCCATCTCAGCCTCCCCAGTACATGGGACTATAGGTGCTCACCACTGCACAAGGTTTATGTGAAATTTTTAAGTGATGCTGACATAGCCAGCTCTGAAGACCAGTATTTTACATATCATTTTGCTTTTTCTTCATCCTTCCTAAACGGGTGTCTTATGTCTTTGCCTTACCCTACTCCTCTTCCTGATTACTTTTGTCTGCTCTGAGATCTGTGGCTGCCATCAGTTGATTCCCACCAACAGCCTAATCCCTCTCCCTGCCCCACAAAGAAGAGTGGAAGCTCTATAGGACAATAAAAGCCAAGGAACTTTGAACTGCCGGAGACCAGTACCTCTGATATTTATTATCAAGATCTTGCTTTATGACACAAAGGGAAAATAACCCAAATTTGAAACCACCTTTGCAAAAATTACGACGGAGAGAGAAATCTAACACAGCAGGCTCCATCTTGCTTCTAACCTCCAAGCTGTCCTTGCTCACTCCTGGGCATAGGCCAAGCTGACTATGGGAGGAATTTAGTTTATCATTTAAACAAAGACGATTACAGCCCCTTACCAAAACTAACCCCCTCTTGTTTGGGGCTCAGGGGTCGTCATACAGCCAGAGGTCACAAGATTTGTAACCTCCCCAATTGCTCCTATAAGTAATATGATTATTGTAAAACCTAAGATTGGTATTTGAGATATTTTTCAGATCCTGCATTCTGATTGATCAGCCAGTGCCACATGGACCCATACCAATACATTGTTTCATCTGGTCTTGTGACCTCCACCCAAGAATGGACTCAGCACCTGAAGACAGCTCTGACCCCCTGTTATTTCATCCTGAGCCCAACCAATCAGCAGTCCCCATTTTCTAGCCTCCCACCCAACAAACTATCCTTGAAAAACCCCAGCCTCTGAGCCTTTGGGAAGGCTTATTTGAGTAACTACTCCTTTCCTTCTGTTTGGCTAGCCCTGTGATTATTAAACTCTTTCTCTACTGCAATACTTCTGTCTCCGTGAATTGGTTTTATCTGTCTGGTGGGCAAGAAGAACCTGTCGGGTGACTACAGATTGAGAAGTCTATATAATTATGGTCAAATCACACCAGGAATCATGTTTAAAACTACAAGGTGTAGATAAATATTTAAATGGAATCTGAAGGTCTTTCTTTTCTCTGATTAATTGGCAGGGTAATGATGTCTTTGCTAATAACAGAGGAAAACCTGTGACTATATGGTAGTGCAAAGACTACTAACTGACAGGTGTAGTGAAGAGCTGGCTGGGGAATCCTACCACAGTGCCTAGCACAAAGCAGACATGCAATAGAATACGGGTTAAAGAATGAACCATCAGAGAGGTGATGGTTGTAAGTCATGAGAATGGATAATATTGTCCAGCAATTGAATTTAAATTTGTGATGAGGCAAGATCATTTTTTAATTTTTGTATAGTAAGAGTGTTTTGTAGTGCTGGTTACAATGGAGTATTATTAATTCAAATCTTCTACATAATAGATATTTTCCACTGGTTTCTGTCTACGGAGACTTTCTGTTTTTGAGAACCACTGTCATATTGTTAGCTAACATTTATGGTGTAACTTATTTAATGAAATTAAAAACTTGCATGAACAAATTTTTCTTTTATTTTTCAAACTTTAGTGGAAGAATTACCTGAGCGGCTTGTTAAAAATGTCACATCTCTAGAAATTTGGATTTAATATGCCTGGAAGGAGACTGAGGAATCTGTATGTTTAATGAGCACCCCCAAGTGCTTCTTAAGTGTTAGAAGGATTGTACAAAGGTGAGAGTGGTGAAGAGTTCCATAACAGCCTTATTGCTTATTTTGACTGCTTTTAAATCTAAATGTTATTTTCCAAACTTTCCTCCCAGACACTGAGTCCTCTGAGGACCAAATCGGAACAGAGCAAGAAAAGAAAAGGGTCATTCACTCAAAATCTTTTCTTGTAGTAACTTGGCTTCATTTTGGTATTGTGCATAATTACAAAGCCAGAGGGAGTTTAATATAAATTTATATGAGGCGAAAGTAATTAAGAAGGGAACCGATTAGGTGAGAATCTCCAATGGTAAAACAAAAGACCTAAAACCATAGAGATACTTGCACAGCCCTGGAAGGGCATTTGTAGCTTGCAGAGGAAGTGAGTGGTACTTTCTTTCCTTCTTTTTTTTTGAGATGGAGTCTCACTCTGTTGCCCAGGCTGGAGTGCAATCTCAGTGCACGCCAGTGCAGTGGTGTTATCTCAGCTCACTGCAACCTCTGTCTCCCAGGTTCAAGCAATTCTCCTGCCTCAGCCTCCTGAGTAGCTGGGATTACAGGCACCTGCCACCCTGCCTGGCTAATTTTTGTATTTTTAGTAGACATGGGATTTCACCATGTTGGCCAGGCTAGTCTTGAACTCCAGATCTCAAGTGATCCACCCACCTCGGCCTCCCAAAATGTTGGGATTACAAACGTGAGCCACCGCGCCCAGCCTATTCAATTTCAGTAAAAACAAATATGTGCCAAGAATCTCCCTGACCTCTTCGGAGGTGTAAGAAAAACATCTTATTTAGGGCTAGGAGCTGGAGAAGTCCAAGCACGTGGTCAGAGCAAGTTTTATTTTTTCGGATTTCACCCTCCCTGCCCCTCCTCTCCCCGCAAAAAGCTAGTAGAAATAGAATTATCACAGGGTTCAGGAGAAATTGGGGGAAGGATGATTGGAGGGCATGGAATTCTTGTCTAGAGGTAGGAAGTAGAGAATTCCAGGCAGTGGAAATATTTTGAAGAAATGCCTAGGGAAAGAATGTGTGCGATGCATGAGGAACAGTAAAAACAACTTTTTGGAGCAGGAGGCAGGATTGCAGTGCAGGAAAGGCAATGTGTGGCAGGCACACCTCAAAATCTCCTTCCCCTACACACAGTAGATGTTGCTAATTGATTCCAGAACATTCCTGCTGTATATATCTTAGAATCCTTCACAAGACAGTATATGGAATGCTACTACCATTTGATCAGGGTTGGCACATGATATGAACTCCATCTATTGTCTGAGAAATATTTATAAATAAAAATAAATTGTAGAGGTAATGTGTTATCCAATTCTGAATGTTACATATATACAGTTGAACCTCCATATCCATGGGCACATCTGTGAATTCATTCAGCTGCAAATAGAAAATATTTGGGGAAAAAAAACCCAGTACAACAGTAAAAAATAATACAAATTAAAAAACCCAATATTGTATAACAACTATTTACATAGTATTAGGTATTATAAGTAATCTAGAGATGATTTAAAGTATTTGGGAGGAGGCTGGGTGTGGTGGCTCATGCCTGTAATCCCAGTACTTTGGGAGGCCGAGGAGGGAGGATCACCTGAGGTCAGGAGTTCAAGACCAGCCTGGGCAATATGGTGCCCAACCCCGTCTCTACTAAAAATAAAAATATAAAAATTAGCTGGGCGTGGTGGCACATGCCTGTAATCCCAGCTACTCGGGAGGCCAAGGCAGGAGAATTGCTTAAGTTTGGGAGGTGGAGGTTGTAGTGAGCCGAGATTTGCGCCACTGCACTACAGAGCCTGGGCAACAGAGTGAGACTCCGTCTCAAAAAAAAAAAAAAAAAAAAAAAAAAAAAAAGAAAGAAAAGAAAAAAAGAAAAAATAAAGAAATACCTGAGGCTGGGTAATTTATAAAGAAAAGAGATTTATTTTGGCTCGTGGTTCTGCAGGCTGTATGAGAAGCATGGTGCTGGCATCTGCTCCTAGTGAGGGCTTCAGGAAGCTTTCAATCATGACAGATGGCAAGGCAGGAGCATATCACCTGGCAAGGGAGGAAAGAAGAGAGCAGAGGGAGGTCCCAGACTCTATTAAATGACAAGATCTCATGTGAACTGAGACAGAACTCACTCATCACCAAGGAGATGGTGTTAAGCCATTCATGAGGGATCTGCTCCTATGATCCAATACCTTCCACTGGGCACACCTCCAACATTAGGGATTATATTTCAATATGAGATTTGGAGGAGACAAACATCCAAATCATATCAATTTGTAAACCAATACCTATATATGTATCAAAATCTACACAGAGCTGCCGCTGCTGCTGCTGTGTGGATGGGTGTGTATCATTAAAGAAAGAAAAATGTCGCAGTAAGGATATATTTTTAACAGAAAATTGCTTCTTTAATAAAAATAATGCTTTGGGGAGAAACATCAGCATAGCCAATCAAAATTAGTTTATCCAACATATCAAAATGGAAAACTATGCTAAAGTTCAAGAGATCTGTCTCAGTCAATTTTCTGTTGCTTATAACAGAATATCTGAAACTGGGTAATTTATAAAGAAGAGAGGCCGGGCATGGTGGCTCACGCCTGTAATCCCAGCACTTTGGAGGCTGAGGTGGGTGGATCGTGAGGTCAGGAGATTGAGACCATCCTGGCTAACACGGTGAAACCCTGTCTCTACTAAAAATACAAAAAAAAAAAATTATCCGGGCATGGTGGCTGGTGCCTGTAGTCCTAGCTACTCGGGAGGCTGAGGCAGGAGCATGGCATGAACCCAGGAGGTGGGGCTTGCAGTGAGCCGAGATTGTGGCACTGCATTCCAGCCTGGGGGACATAGAGACTGTGTCTCAAAAAAAAAAAAGAAAAGAAATTTATTTCTTACAGTTATGGAGGCTGAGAAGCCCAAGGTGGAAGAGCTGCATCTGGCGAGAGCCTTCTTGCTGGTGGGGACTCTCTGCAGAGTCCCAGGGCAAAATGGCCCAAGGCATCATATGGTGGGGGAATGAGCACGCTCTCTCAGGTCTCTCTTCCTCTTTGTATAAAGCCACCAGTCCTACTCCCAAGATAACCCACTAATCCATTCATGAGGGAGAGCCCTCGTGATCCAATCACCTCTTAAAGGTCCTACCTCTCAATTAAGGATTAAGTTTCAACAGGAGTTTTGGAGGGGACATTCAAACCATAGCCAACTTCCAAAGCTAAAAATTCCTCTGGGGGCAAATACTGTGTTTTAAATATTCTTTCAGTGGTTTATAACTGTTTGCATAGCTCTGGACACATATGCTTGTTGTGTAGAATAATTTGGAACAAGGATAAAATATGTTGTGTTTGATGTAGAAAAAAAATACCAGTGAGTAAGTTTTGAGAAGTTCTGATATAAATCCTGGAATGGGCATATGTTGCAATTGCTATATACAAAAATCCCTTCTAGCCAAGTGTATACTATGTATCAGTTAATTCAATTCCTAATTTAACACAGGGACTCATGTCATCTGCTTTTAAATCTCTACATTCCATTACTTAAAATAAAATGTTTAGAGGTATGTTTTGAAAACACACTAGGATATATGTGTGTGTAGATATATAGATATAGATATGTGTTTCTCAACAGATTTTGCACTTCTGTATGTCATACATAGATCTATGCTGAACATCAATATAGATCAGTGGTGTTAAGTTATAATGTGCACAGGACTCATCTAAGTATCCTTCTAAAATGTAGATCCCATCTCAGTAGGTCTCGAGTGGGTCCTGAGATTTACCTTTCTAATAAGTTCACAGTTGGTGCCAATGCTGATGGTCCCTGACCCTTGCTTTGAGTAGCTAGGGTCTAGGTCACGGTTTGGATGTATGGAGACAAGCAAACCTGGGTTCAAATCTACTTTCCACTCTCTGTGTGTCCTTGGACAAGTAAATTAACTTCTCTGAGGCTCAGTTTTGTTTTGTTTGTTTGTTTGTTTGTTTGTTTTGAGACAGAGTTTCGCTCTTGTTGCCCAGGCTGGAGTGCAGTGGCATGATCTCGGCTCACTGCAACCTCCGCCTCCCAGGTTCAAGCGATTCTCCTGTCTCAGTCTCCTGAGTAGCTGGGATTACAGGCATGCGCCACCACGCCTGGCTCATTTTGTATTTTTAATAGAGACGGGTTTTCTCCATGTTGGTCAGGCTGGTCTTGAACGGTTGACCTCAGGTTCTGCCCACCTCAGTCTCCCGAAGTGCTGGGATTATAGGCCTGAGCCACTGTACCCGGCCTGAGGCTCAGTTTTGACATATTTAAAGTGAGTGTAATACAACTTGTCTCATTGGGTTGTCATATTAATGTGATAAGACTATGTCAGTTAAGCATTGTCCTTCCTCTTGACACATACACCATTGTCTCTCTTTCAAATGAAATGTGGCTAATAGCAGGGCCTGATTTCATGATAGGGAAAAGTGTTGAGAGCACCGAACCCAGAAGGATAATGATAGTGTGGTGGTGTAGGCTGGCCAATGGGCTAGGCTTGGATTTTAGTCATTGCTCATATTTGGGAGGCTCAAATAAGATTATGTCCATGAAGATATTTTGAAAACTGCAAATCACTGCAAGTACAAGAGAATCCAAGTACTAGTGAAAGTCAGTGGGAAAAAAATGTCAGCATGATATGTTGCCAGTATAATGACAATGGCTTACACTTGTGTAGACCGGTTTGCTTTACAAAGCATTTTTGTATGCTTCATCTCTATTTAACATTAATCTCTATTTAATAGTCACAGCAGACCAGAATATCTAGGAAGTTAAAACTGATTAAACTCTTTTTACTGCAGACAAGAAAACTAAGGCAAAGAGGTTAAGTGACAAGGCCAAGTAAAAATCATGATTGCTACTCCAACCTCTTTATTTTATAGATGAGTAAATGAGGCTTGTCTCAAAGTGTTGGCCCTTCATTCTCTTCCCAGTCTCTGCAGGGAAAATACATGAATAATGCGTCACAGAAAATGTTACAAAACCAAAAGATCAGAAAGTGGACCTAACTGCACAGTCTAGTGGGTAAGAGCATGGATTCTGGCCTTAGACTCCAGCTTTCCCATTGACTAGCTGCATCACCCTGGAAAAGTGACTTCAACTCTCTGTGCCTCAGTTTCCTTGTCTATGAAAATGAGATGCTAACAGTATCCAGATTTTTAGGCTGTCAGGGGGATTAAATGAATTAATATTTTAAAAGCCCTTAAAATGGTGCTTGGCATATGGTATCTCATGAATATTAGTTACATAAATGTAGTACTTGGCCCTGGAGGGAAAACCAATAGTATCCCTAGTATCCCACTCCCTTTATGTTCTCCTAGATATTGTAGGATATGTGTACCTGTTCTACAAGGCTGTGGAAAGAAGGAAAAGAAGCAGAAAGTAAGCTACATATCTCAAGTGACAGAGTGGCAAGGCTGGAATTTGAATTCAACTCAGTGGAACCCGAAGCCTTCATTCTTCTTTCCACTGAACTCCCAGACATGAATTCTAAATCTTGGCCAGCTAAAATGGGCAAGCCTTGCTCAGGAATAAAAGGTAAACATTTTCTTAGAGTGTCCTTGCCAAAATTTTGGGAAGGGAAGCTAGACAGTATGTGACTAACTTTGCTTTCTCTTTATGTATTTATTGAGTTACTTATTTGTTTTTGATATCTTGAAATGAATCCTCAAAAACTTGACCTAGAATTATATAATTTAGGTTTAGATCACTGGTTCTCAACCAGAGACCATTTTAACCTCCAGGGACATTGAGATTGAACATATTTTTGGTTTTCACAACTGGGGGAAGGTTGCTACTAGTATCTAGTGGGTAGAGGCTGGGGTGTTGTTAAACATCCCACAGACACACAACAGCCCCCACAACAAAAAATCATCCAGCTCAAAATATCAACCAGGTTTAGAGAACATCAACAGCATCATGGATCATGAGCACGAAGGGAGGAAGATTCTAAAAGTTGTCTAATCCAGTTTCCCACCATACGTAAATTCTCTCTACAGTAAGTCTGAAAAGCAATCACTGTGAAGGATAAACACAATACCTTGCTTCTTAGTTCAAAGTATTAAAAATGCAAGTCCTAGAACTTAGAACTCATTATGTGAACCTGGTGTCCCTACAGATTTACTCACATCTTGTTTGGAACTTCCTCTTGTGTGTGCAATTCCTGTTGGGTTCTGCACCCCCACAACCTATCTTTTTTCTCTTCCCTCTGCTTATTGTTCCTATGTGGACAGTTTGACCTATCCAATTCTACTACTTTTTTCTATTAATTAATTTATTTATTTATTTGAGATGGAGTCTTGCTCTGTCACCCAGGCTGGAGTGCAGTGGCACGATCTCGGCTCACTGCAAGCTTGGCCTCCTGGGTTCACGCCTTTCTGCTGCCTCAGCCTCCTGAGTAGCTGAGACCACAGGCACCTGCCACCATGCCCAGCTAATTTTTTTTGTATTTTTAGTA